>NT_187671.1:0-190932 GCF_000001405.40 Homo sapiens
ACCAGGAAACAGCCTAGGAACACTGCATGCATACCTTTAATCTACAGTAAAGGTTGAAGTTATTTAAAAATAGGAAGAAGAATTACCCTATACCTAAAGCTAAGATTTTTCCCTTTGAATATTCGTTTCTTCATCACTGTAGATAAGCAGGGAAAGAAAAATTATTATACTATACTAGCCTTTTATGTGACCATGAGGATTTGGGGTAGGTAGGTGGACAGCTTAGATAATTCACCAGGATATTGATACAGGCTCCATGGCTGGAAATAACCAAGGATGAGTGCTGTGTTTTGAGTGGTCTCCCCCAGAAACGTTTGTTGAAATCCTAACCCCTGGTATGTATGAATGTGAATTCATATTATATAAAAAGGAATAAATAGCCTGAGCACAGTGGCTCACACCTGTAATCCCAGCACTTTGGGAGGCCAAAGCAGGTGGATCATTTGAGGTCAGGAGTTCTGGCCAATATGGCAAAACTTCATCTCTACAAAAAAAAAATACAAAAAAAAAAATTGGCTGGGTATGGTGGCGCATGCCTGTAGTCCCAGCTACTCAGGAGGCTGAGGCAGGAATTGCTGAAACCTGGAAGGCAGAGGTTGCAGTGAGCCAAGATCATGCCACTGCACTCCAGCCTGGGTGAGACGGCAAGATATTCTGTCAAAAATAAATAAATAAAAAACAGAAGAAGAAATACAAGAATGACAGCAAACTTTGTATTCAAAACTATGAAAGTAAGAAACAGGTGGACCAACATTTTTAAAGTGCTACAAGAAAATATTTCAAACTAGAATCTTTCAACCTGAAAAGGAAAACATTTTCCTGCAATAAAGGTGCCATTAAAAATGTCTCACAATTTATTACATGAAGCATTGTTCTACAATAAATGTTAAGCTCTTGAAGCAAAGATTAATGATACCATTTAGTAACTTGAAATTCAAAAAAGTGGAAGTATCCCAAGAGGCAAATACGTGTGCAATTATTAAATGTTTCATATCAACACCCAACCTTATGCTGTCTACATAAGCTGCACTTCAAATACTAATCCACAAGATGTAAATATTGAAAGAATGACATTACCTTGTCATGATAATGCCCAGTGCAAAATATGCTTCTAGTCAGTTGTATACATAGAATAGGTAAATGTTTGTAATAAAAAGTATTCCTCAATAGAAGTTTCTTAACTCAAAGAATGAAATATTTCACCATGCACATACAAAGAAGAGATATATGGAGATATGAAGAGGAGTACTTCATAATGACAAAGAGGCAAATTCATAAATAAGACATAATCATCCTAAATGCCTACACACTTAAAGCTGGAACCTCAAAACACATTAAATTAAAGGCATAATTCAAAACATAATCAATCACATCCAAATTGCAGCTAGAGATAGCAACATTCACCTCACTTCCAGAACAAGTACACAGAAAATTATTAAGCATATGAAAGACTTGAAAAACATTTGTGTAGGCGGCGGGTGCATAAGGTTGGGTGTTGATATGAAACATTTAATAATTTCAATAATCCTAGCACTTTGGGAGGCCAAAATGGGAGGATCACTTGAGGCCAGGAGTTTGAGACCAGCCTGGGCACCATAGTGAGACCCCGTCTCTATTTTTTTTAAATAAAGAAAAACATTTGAATGATTTTTTTCTTAACTGACATTTAGAAAACATCCACCTCAAATCTTCCTAATCCACAAACTTGTCTAGCACCCCTGGAACATTCACCAAAATAAATTTTTAAATGCTGAATCATAGGTAATATGATAGATGAAACAGTTGAATTAAATTATAAATGTACAACAAGGAAATGCTGGGGAAATTATCAAATATTTTAAAATTAATAAACACACATAGCAATAAACAATGAGTGGAAGAAAAACATTTCAAAGAAAGGTGGAAAATATTTTGTATCAATTAAAAATGAAAACACATCTCGGCAAATGACTGGGGATACAGATAGAACAGCGTTAAGGGACAATAAGCCTCAAATGTCTGTGTTAGAAAAGAAGGAAGAGCTGAGTAAATAGGTAACTTTCACTTGCAGAAATACTACACATCAGCAAATTAATTCCAAAGTAACGTCGAGGAAAAACATAAAATGGCAAGCAAATATATACGTGCATATGTACATACATTCATAAATGACAAACAGGACAGAAAAATCAGTGACATCAATTTTGTTCCTTAGAAGAAACAGGAAAATTGACCCCAAAAAACTTTCCAGGCCACATTTGGTCATGATGGAAATATTTTGGCACTTCCTGGTTAAGCTCAACACCAACTTGCACCCAAAACCAATAATTTCATTTCTAGGTAAATATGTCTAATTAATTCAGCATATGTATGCAAGGGATCACACAGAAACACGATTATCAAGGCCCGAGTTATAAAAGAGAAAATCCGGAAACAACACAAATGTCCATGATAAAAAGAATGGATAATTACATGTTGATAAAGTTATGCATGGACTATTAAACTGCAATCCAAAAGAATAAAATAGAGCTATAAAATTCAATATGTATATGGTGTCATAGAAACACAAATGTGAGAAAAAGAAAGAAAAATACAAAATTTATATTTTTTAAAATTTGAAACAACTATATATGTGAGTGCTTAGGGTGTGTGTGTGTGTGTGTGTGTGTGTGTATAACCATATGTATATAAATGCACACATACGCACACATATAGAATGTCCCGGCCAGGCATGGTGGCTCACACCTGTAATCTCAGCACTTTGGGAGGCTGAAGTAGACAGATCACTTGAGGTTAGGAGTTCAAGACCAGCCTGGCCAACATGGAGAAACCTCCTCTCTACTAAAAGTACAAAAATTAGGTGGGCGTGGTGGTGGGTGCCTGTAAATCCAGCTACTTAGGAGGCTGAGGCACGAGAATTGCGTGAACCTGGGAGGTGGAGGCTGCAATGAGCCGAGGTCTCACCACTGCATTCCAAACTGGGTGACGAAGTGAGATTGCATCTCAAAAAAAAAAAAAGTTCTAAAAGTTGTGACTTGGGTGTGGCAGATTGTGACATACTGCCAGCTGCTAGAAATGCTGGGGCAGGAGGATTGCTTGAACTCTGAAGTCAAAGAACAGCCTGGGGAAAATAGCACATGAAGAAGAGTTTGAATCTCAGATAAAAACAACAAAAATACATCAAAAGTCTTTAATGTAAGCCAAGCATTCAGTCATCTCCTGTATGAGAGATTGGATCTGAGACGTGTTTTGAGTTGGTTATAGTGAAGGATGCAAGGTGTCAATTCTAGTTGGAACAATTTCCAGGAAGCCATGTTCTGCTCTTGACCAAACAGCCACTGGGCCTCATGCAAGGTAGAAATAGCCTGCATACGTCATCCTCCCATGATGTGGTCAGCATGTAAACTGCATGAGCCCCTCACAACATCCTGTGTGCTGCTGAACTGAGCTGGGGCGCAGCCGCCTGTCTGCACCGGCAGCACCATGTCGCTCATGGTCGTCAGCATGGCGTGTGTTGGTGAGTCCTGGAAGGGAATCGAGGGAGGGAGCGGTGGGGTGGAGATCTGGGCCTGGAGTGGAGATATGGGCCTGGAGTGGAGATATGGGCCTGGAGTGGAGATATAGGCCTGGAGTGGAGATATGGGCCTGGGGTGGAGATATGGGCCTGGAGTGGAGATATGGGCCTGGAACTGTAGATATGGGCCTGAAGTAGAGATATGGGCCTGGAGTAGAGATATGGGCCTGGAACTGTAGATATGGGCCTGGAGTGGAGATATTGGCTTGGAGTGCAGATATGGACCTGGAATTGAGATACGGGCCTGGAGGTGGAGATATGGGCCTAGAGTGGAGATATGGGCCTGGAGGTGGAGATATGGGCCTGGAACTGTAGATATGGGCCTGGAGTAGAGATATGGGCCTGGAGTGGAGATGTTGGCTTGGAGTGCAGATATGGGCCTGGAATGGAGACACGGGCCTGGAGGTGGAGATACAGGCCTGGAGGTGGAGATATGGGCCTGGAGTGTAGATATGGGCCTGGAGTAGAGATATAGGACAGAGGTGGAGATATAGGCCTGGAGTGGAGATATGGGCCTGGAGTAGAGATATAGGACGGAAGTGGAGATATGGGCCTGGAGTGGAGATATGGGCCTGGAGGTGATGTACAGATGGATCATCCATCATGATCTTTCTTTCCAGGGTTCTTCTTGCTGGAGGGGCCCTGGCCACATGTGGGTGAGTCCTTCCCCCAAACCTTAGGTTGTCATCTCCCCACATAAGATGATGTTCCTGAAACGGGAGGCAGGCGACACAGGGGGTTGACTGATGGGCTGACCATGGGAAGCCATGTGGGAATCTCTCATGAACTAGGAAAAGGAAGCCAGGGGAAGCTTCGCCACAGTTCTGTCCTAGCCCTCCCCGGCCTTTCTTTCCCTTGGCTGAGTCTGTGGGGACCCAGGGGGAGACTGAAGTGCTCAAAGGAGTGGTGTGCAGGGAGGAAGTGGTGTCACCAGCAGAGGAAGGGAGAGAAGCAGTGCAAGGAACAACAGGCCTCTGAGGACAAGAGCATAACTCACACCCTCCAGCGTTTCCATGACGGTAGGGGCTGCAATGTGGCTGCTGTCATTCTACCTAAGAGGTGGGGGAACCACAGTCATGACCCTGACATTCCAGATCTTCTAATAGGGGCTCAGTTGTTTATTATGGTTCATGCATTAGCTGATCATGCCCTCCATCCTGTGTCTACCTTGTGTTCTTTTATGTAAGTAATTTTGCAGTGTTAAAATCTAGTAAGAGTCGCTTCTTCAGCACCTGCTCAAAGTTCTCAGCTGACACTTGCTGTAGGGAGACGCCATGTCTATGCGGGATGGGTCCTTCCTGTAGCCCTGGGCACCCAGGTGTGGTAGGAGCCTTAGAAACGTGGAAATGGGAGAATCTTCTGAGCACAGGGAGGGAGGGGCGGCTCCACATCCTCCTCTCTAAGGTAGTGCCTCCTTCTCCCCCAGGTGGTCAGGACAAGCCCTTCCTCTCTGCCTGGCCCGGCACTGTGGTGTCTGAAGGACAACATGTGACTCTTCAGTGTCGCTCTCGTCTTGGGTTTAACGAATTCAGTCTGTCCAAAGAAGACGGGATGCCTGTCCCTGAGCTCTACAACAGAATATTCCGGAACAGCTTTCTCATGGGCCCTGTGACCCCAGCACATGCAGGGACCTACAGATGTTGCAGTTCACACCCACACTCCCCCACTGGGTGGTCGGCACCCAGCAACCCTGTGGTGATCATGGTCACAGGTCAGAGGCTTTCTGTCTGGGCTTCTCACTGTCCCACCTCCTGAATCCCAGAGCTTCTGGTGGGGGTGTCCATCAGGGTCCAATCATCCAGGCCCAGACTGTATTTGGGGTAAAGGGGGATTCAGTACAGAGAAATAGTTGCTGTGGTGGGAAGAATAATTGTCCCCAGTGATGGCTACATGGTAATCCATGAACCCTGTGACTATTTATGTCATAGGGCAGGGGACTGAAGGGGAAGATGGAGCTCAGGTTGTTGATGGGTTGACCTTGCGATGGGGAGACAGCCTGGACTGTCCTGCTGTGCTCAGAGTAATCACAAGGGTCCTCATGAGAGGAGGAGGAAGAGGAAAGTGGGGTTAGAGCAACGTCGTGGGAGGGAGACTCCATCAGCCACAGCGGGCTTTGAAGATGGGGGAAGGCCATGAGCCACAAAGGCAGTTGGCCTCTAAGGGCTGGAGAAGTCAAGGGAACTGATTCTTCCCTGAGTCTCCAGAGGAAACACAGCCCTGTAGATGCCTTGATTTTAGCCCAGAGAGAACTGGGTCCGATTTCTGTTCTCCAGAAGTGGAAGGGGTCATTGTATTCTCTCCTGCCCCATGTTTGTGACAATTTTCTCCAGCAGCAACAGGAAACCAACACAGGAACCCAGGTGAAGCACAAGTTAAGAAACCAAACAAGGAGAAGGTTGGCTACACTGATTTTAGCATGGGTGGGATACTGATGCTACCACCAGGCTCGATCCACATAGGGAGGGGTTGATGCTCCTGGAACCAGCACCAGGGGCCACCCTATGGAAGCTGGGGCCATGGAGAAGGCACAGACATGACAGGAGAGGCTCCCAATCCCCATCAGGAACAGGGACACTGATGCCTGCCTTACTGATGAGTTCGTACCTCCTGCCAGCCTTTCCAATCTGTCCAAAAGAGATTGATTCAGGCTGCTAAGAGCCTGGACATGCAGCCTGTCGTGGTTCCTCTTCCACCCCCACATAAACACCAGGAAAGAGATTAGTGGGAAACAGATACAACAGCATAAGAGGTGACACTGAGCACAGTGGGAAGGGAATCAGGGCTACTAGAGACAGAGAGACAGGGAAGAGGGAGGGAGACAGATGGAGGGACCTGCAACAGGGGTTATGGGCACAAAAGAACACGGAGACACAGAGAGGAAGGAGAGAGATAGACACCATGGAGGGGAAGCCTCACTTATTTCAGGTCCCATGAATGGGATGAGAAAGGGAGACGCCTTCTGAACTCACAACCTCTCTTCTTAGGAGTCCACAGAAAACCTTCCCTCCTGGCCCACCCAGGTCCCCTGGTGAAATCGGGAGAGACGGTCATCCTGCAATGTTGGTCAGATGTCAGGTTTGAGCGCTTCCTTCTGCACAGAGAGGGGATCACTGAGGACCCCTTGCGCCTCATTGGACAGCTCCACGATGCGGGTTCCCAGGTCAACTATTCCATGGGTCCCATGACACCTGCCCTTGCAGGGACCTACAGATGCTTTGGTTCTGTCACTCACTTACCCTATGAGTTGTCGGCTCCCAGTGACCCTCTGGACATCGTGGTCGTAGGTGAGAGAATACAGACCTGCCTCTCACCCTTGCTGGGAGATGGAGTGAATGATCTAGGACTGGAAGCCCCAGGTGGTCATGAGGAAGATGAGTGTGGGGTTCCTATGGAGAGAAAGTGACTTGGTGAGGTCTGTACCAACAAAGGCAGAGAAACAGGAGACACAAGTACAGACCTCATGTCATAACATAGAAGCCAGACACAGGGGCCATACAAGGTGTTAGAAAAAGAGATAAAGAGGTAAAGAAGACACAGAGAGACAGATATATCCCAGAGAGAGGTGTCCTTCTATGCTGACTTTGTTCAGAGACCAGGCACAGGTTAGAAGGTTCCATTCTGTTTTACCTCTACAAAGTGTTCTCTCCCAGGAGAACCCAAAGAGACACATCTATCTGGCCTGAGTTGGGCCGTGTGGCCCCAGGCTGGTGGCACCTACAGATGCTGTGTTTATTCTTAAACCTCTGCCTTCCGTGCAGTGGAGCTGTCGTCGTCGCAGGACACCATGGCCCCAGGTGAGGGAGCAGAACACCAACCCCTGTATGTTGTGAGTTCCTGGAGTCCCCATACTGGATTCTGAGGCTCATATTCAAATAGCACCACATGTTATAGGATTACTGAGAACAAAAGCCCACAGAGAGACACGGAGTGAAATCAGGGAAATCAAAAAGCAAAGACATGAACACACACACAGAATGAGCCAGAAGAAGGGAATTGAGAGACTCACAGACACATAAAGAGATAGAAAAAGAGGGCAGAGAAGTGGAGCGTATGATGGAAGGAAGCAGAGAAAAGCCCTAAAATCAGAGCCCTGAGGGAGGGGCACAAAGACAGGGAAAGATAAAGATGTGGGGATGGATTGCAGAGACTCCAAAAGGGAACTAGAGAGACTGAGAGGCAGAGAAAGACAAGGAGATGGAGAGAGACAGATGATAGATGGATAGATAGATATAGATAGATGAAAGATAAAAGGTAGATGATAGATAATAGAGAGACAGGTGATAGACAAATAGATGATGAATGACTGATAGATGATATAGATAGACAAGTAGAAAGACAGACAGATGATATATAAATAGATATAGAGAGATAGAAAGATAAACACATGATGATAGATGGATAGATGCATACATACATACATTGATTGATAGATGATAGATAACAGAGAGATAGGTCATAGATACACAGATGATGATAGATGATAGATACATACATAGATAAATGATAGATCGATCAATAGATAGTAGATAGAAATATGCAGAAAGTTATGAGCAAGACAGAAAGTGAGAGACTCAGAATTAAAGAAAGAGGAAGATCAAGTCAACCAGTCCAAGGAGGGTCAGAGAGAATAAAATGGTACAAAAAAAGAAAACATAGCTAGGGATGGAGAAGTGAGGTCAGAGACCTAGAGAGACAGAGAAGGTGGAAGGAGGAAATAGACATGAAGAGAGATGGGGGTGGAGGGTGAGAGAGAGAAAGAGAGCATTAAGTCATAGAGCAGGGGAGTGAGTTCTCAGCTCAGGTGTGAGGAGAGCTGTGACAACGAAGAACCTCCCTGAGGAAACCACCTCTTCTCCTTCCAGGTCTATATGGGAAACCTTCTCTCTCAGCCCAGCCGGGCCCCACGGTTCAGGCAGGAGAGAATGTGACCTTGTCCTGCAGCTCCCGGAGCTTGTTTGACATTTACCATCTATCCAGGGAGGCAGAGGCCGGTGAACTTAGGCTCACTGCGGTGCTGAGGGTCAATGGAACATTCCAGGCCAACTTCCCTCTGGGCCCTGTGACCCACGGAGGGAACTACAGATGCTTCGGCTCTTTCCGTGCCCTGCCCCACGCGTGGTCAGACCCGAGTGACCCACTGCCCGTTTCTGTCACAGGTGAGAAAACACCATGCCTGTCCCATGTCTTGTGATCCTAGAGCCATAGCTGAGGAGCTTCCTGCTGATGATGGAGAGAAGCATGGACAGATGCCGAGACAGAACACACAGCATGGGTGTAAGGGCGGGGTCAGGGGGCAGGATGGCAGACAGGGCACCTCCAAACCCTCCTGTATGGCCTGCAAGGAGGCCCTTGATCAGGGTTCCAGGCACCCAGGCAGATGGAGAAAGAGGTCAGAACAGACCCAGAGGAGGGAGACTGGGCTCTGCCTGGGGAGATCAGAGGTTCTCTCAGCCCCTCAACCTTACCCACTTCCCAGAAGCCCATCCTGGCCTGTCACCCACAGAGAGATGTCATCACCAGCAACGCCTACACCCTTTTCTTTTTGTTTGAAGAAATATTTATTGAGGTGAAATATACCTATGTAATTTACCACCTTTACCATTTTTAAGTGTGAAGTCTACTGTTCATAAATACATTTATAGGCTGGGCACGGTGGCTCACTGTTGTAATCCCAACACTTTGAGAGGCCAAGGCAGGTGGATCATTTGAGATCAGGGGCTCAAGACCACCCTGGCCAACATGGGGAAAATCCATCTGTACTAAAAATACAAAATAATAATAATAATGATAATAATTAGCCGAGCATGGTGGCACATGCCTGTAGTCCCAGCTACTTGGGAGGGTTGGGCAGGAGTTGCACTTAATTGCAGGAGGCGGAGGTTGCAGTGAGCTGAGATCATGCCACTGCACTGCAGCCTGGGCAACAGAGAGAGACACTCTCTCAAAATTAATTAATTAATTAATTAGTATTCTTTTTTTTTTACCCTCCACCCTTCCCTTCCTGGCCTCTGGTAGCCACCATTCTACTCTCTACCTTTGTGAGATCCACCTTTTAGCTCCTGCATATGAGTGAGAAATGGAAATACTTGTAATGACCTCCAGTTCCATTCATGTGGCTGTAAATGACAGGATGTTACTCTTTCTATGGATGAGTTGTCCCTATTGTGTGTGTGTACCACATTCTCTCCATCCATTCACCCACTGATGGGCAGGTAGGTTGATCCACATCTTGGCTACTGTGAACACTGCTGGAACAGTCATGGGAGTGCAGATGTCACTTCGATACGCTGATGTCCTTTCCTTTGGGTTTACACCCAGTCATGGAATTGCTAGATCCTCTGGAAGTGTCTTTTTACATTTTGTTTTATGGTTTTTGTTTTTGTTTTTGTTTTTTTTAGACAGTTTCACTCTTGTTGCCCAGGCTGGAGTGCAGTGGTGCCATCTGGGCTCACTGCAACCTCCACCTCCAGGATTCAAGAGATTCCCCAGCCTCAGCCTCCCAAGTAGCTGGGTTACTGGCTCCCACCACCACACTCGGCTAATTTTTATATTTTTAGTAGAGACAGAGTTTCGCTATATTGGCCAGGCTGCTCTTCAACTCCTGACCTCAAGTGACCTACCCACCTCGGCCTCCCAATGTGCTGGGATTACAGGCATGAACCACTGTGCCCGACCTCATTTTATTTTTTGAGGAACTTCCATACTCTTCTCCTCTGTAATGGCTGTACTAATTTGCATTCGTATCAGCAGTGTACCAGATGCAACCCTGGTTGACTCAGCAGAGCAAGAGACGTGCAGTAAGAGAGAATTTAGCTTATTTATGCACACGACACTTCCACTCACTCACTCGTTCAGCCAATGCCCCATGCTCTGGCTGTGCAGTGTGGAATCTTTTCCTATTGTTGCCATAACAAATTTCCACAAGCTTCGTGGATGAAAACATGTTTTTCTTAATTATCTCACAGTGCTGTAACTCAGAAGTATGAACTGCATTTCACTGGGCTGATATCAAAGGGACAGTAAGGCTGGATTTCTTTTTAAGGTTCCAAGCAAGAATCTGCTCCTTAACGTTTCCCAGCTCCTAGAGGCTCCCACGTTCCTGGGCCCCTGGTCCCCTTCCTCCTTCCTCCTTCCTCAAAGCCCACAAAGGCTGGTCACGTCTCACATGGCATCATTCAGACTCTTCTTCTTTACCCATACCTTTTTCTCTGAATCCTGCTCTGCCTTCTTCCTCATCTTTTAAGGACTTTGGGATTCTATTGGGGTCACCAAGATAATCCATCTCAATCTCCCTAAAATCATCCAGCGTACCCTCTTTTTAAGTTCAGCTGATTAGCAACCGTAATGCCATCTGCAATCTTCATTCCTCCTTTCCTGTAAAATAACATATTCACAAGCTATGGAGGCTAAGACAGGGACATTTTGGGGGTGGGGCAGCATTCTCCTGCCTTCCACAAATGGTAAACAGGATGCATTTGGCCTCTGCTCTTGGGACGCTGATATTGCAGATGGGTAAATGCGAGGGCAGAGAATGAATGCACAAGGGTACCAATAAATGAATGATCCATTGGGAAGCATCTGTGCACCAAATCTGGGGTTTTTTGTGTGTGTGTGTGTTTTTTGTTTTCTTTTTTTTTTTTGAGTAGAGTCTCTCTCTGTTCCACAGGCTGGAGTGCAGTAGCACAATCTCAGCTCATTGCAACCTCTGCCTCCTGGGTTCATGCAATTCTCCTGCCTCAGCCTACCGAGTAGCTGGGATTACAGCTGTGCGCCACCACACTCGGCTAATTTTTTTGGTATATTTTTTAGTAGAAATGAGGTTTCACCATGTTGTGCAGGCTGTCTCAAACTCCCAATCTCAAGTGATCCCACCGCCTTAGCGTCCCTAAGTGCAAAGATTACAGGCGAGAGCTACTGCGCCCAGCCAGGATTTAAAATAAGTAATAGATAATGCTGAGTATATAATTTCAGGTGACAGAGAAGGTCTCACTGATCAGATAATATTTGTGACCTTAATGGAAAAAATGGATTCAACCCTTGGAAGATTGGCGGAAGGATTTTCCACACTGAGCTCTCAGCCGTGAAGGCACAAAGGTGGAAACATTCTTAGTTCAAGGAAGAGGCTCTGCCTCAAATGCTGGGAATGAGATGGGGAGAATGACAAGACAACTGTAGAGAGATGGAGAGCACACTGGGTACACAGGAAACTAAGGAGGAACAAGGAGCATGTTTTTGATACTCACAGCCCTTGGATTCAACTCAGAGCTAACTAGGAATCCCTACCTGATTAACAGTGACCGACATGAAAATAAGGGAGGCCCAGGTGCGTAACTGGAATCTAGGAGACCGTGGAAAAGGCAATTCCCGCCCCACTGGTGAAACGTAGGGTTGATTTACACACTAAATGAATGAAAGATGGATATAAGCTATGCTTGTGAGGTAGAATCATTTGCAGGGAGGGCTTGCTGGGTTTGATTTTTCCTAGTAGTTTAATCCTTGTTTCATTAATTTCTTTCTGAGATGTGTTTTTTTTCTACATCTAAATCAATACCTGGCAGAGGAGCGATAGACACATGAGGGGTGGTGCAAATGAAGGGACCTAGTATAATATAATATACAAGACTGTGGATGGGGGCTCACACCTGTAACCCAACACTTTGGGAGGCCAAGGCGGGTAGATCACTTAAGGGTAGGAGTTTGAGACCAGCCTGGCCAACATGGTGAAACCCCGTCTGTACTAAAAATACAAAAATTAGCCTGGTGCATTGGCACCTGCCTGTAATCCCAGCGACTGGGGAGGCTGAAGCAGAAGAATGGCTTCAACCCTGGAGGCAGAGGTTGAACTGAGATCGCATCACTGCACTCCAGCCTGACACAGGGGGACTCTGTCTCAAAAAATAAAAATAAAACATACATAATTATGACACACAGAAATTACAAAGGCAACTGGATACCAACCATCATTTTTCTATTTCTCTGTGTTTAATTCTTTGACCCTTTATCTTATCCATTAAACAATCAGGTTAAACCTCTTCCTTATTTGGCTTTCTGTGAGCTTGGGATCATATGGAAAATGTGAAAGCCTCCTGAACCCACCAGCACAGGTCCTGGAATAGAGAACGTGCTCTGTTCATGGCATAAAACTTGCCCCTTCACCCAAATCCCCCAATTCATCTCTACTTCCAATCACCTATGGAGATACAGATAGATCATGGGGAGGTAAACACTAATACTCTTTGGAGTGAGCTCAGATCTTGGACTCAGAGACCAGTGCCAGCACTAGCCCCTGGTCACATTTCGTACTAACTCACAGAAGGACAGGCTGTATTGAAACAATAAACGACGGAGAGGGCGGTCCTTCCCCGTGCTTCTCGGGTGGAATAGCAGCCTAATATATGTCTCAGCAGATCACAAAAAGTAGCATGTTGTTCCTGGGCTACATCATTATTTCATGGCTGTTTGATTTAAGTCAGTTCTACTTCACTTTTTTTATCTTGATTTCATTTTTTCTTTCTTTTCTTGGAGAATGTAATTTTTTTTGAGTCAAGAGGGTTGTGGTGGTAGAAACTGTAAAGCACATTCGCTGTGTATCAATCCCAATCCAGTCTTCCCAGAGAAGATTCTAAACACCTCCTGGAATGCACCTGGGCCTATACCAATTCCTATCACTCACCGTCACTCCAGGGAGACAGAACACACAGAGAACACATTACACAGGCAGGTTCATTACTAACAGATAAGCAGCGAGTGACAACAGAAACCTACATTTCAATGTGAGCCAGTCCCTCAAGGCTCAGAAAAGCTGCTCGAGACATGGGGAGTCACCCCATATGCAGTGTATCTGGGGGAAATCAAAAAGCAGCCCAGCCTGGGTTTTGTACCCTGGAGCCACAGGAAGCACTCAGCTAAAGCACTGCATGACGTCCTCCTCCAGGAAGAACAGGAAGACAGCCCAGGCTGTTCTGGGATGTTCCTCCTGATCTCAGGACGTTGCTGTCTTAGTCCATTTTTGTTGCTCTAAAGGAACACTTGAGCCTGGGTAACTTCTAAAGAAAAGAAATGTGTTTGCCTCACAGTTCTGCAGGCTGTACTGGAAGCATGGCACCAGCATCTATTTCTTGTGACGGCCTCAGGCTGCTCCCACTCTGGCAGAAGGGAAGGAGGGTCTGTCTGTGCAGAGACCACAGAGATCACACGGCAAGAGAGGGACCAAGGGGGAGGGGGAGCGATGGAGCTTCCAAGCTCTTTTAACAACCAGTTCTCCAGGAACTAATAGAGGGGGAACTTGCTAACCCCGTCTCCTTGGAACAGCATTGATCTGTTCATGATGGATCCACCTCCATGACCCAAACAACTCCCAAGAGGCCCAACCTCCCACCCTGGGGGTTACATTTCAATGTGAGGTTTGAAGGGGTCAAACATCTAAACTAAAGCAGTTGTATCCTCAGCACGTTCTATGGTTACTACAACTGAGAAAGCAGGAGGAAGCTAGGTCTCCCGCCATCTGGGTGCTTGTCCTAAAGAGACGTTGTATGTGGTTACCTGTCAATCAAGAAATGTGAGACAATTCATATAGAGGAACTGCTATGATTAGCTTCTTATTGGTGTCTTGTCTTCCTCCAGGTAACTCCAGACACCTGCACGTTCTGATTGGGACCTCAGTGGTCATCATCCCCTTTGCTATCCTCCTCTTCTTTCTCCTTCATCGCTGGTGTGCCAACAAAAAGAGTAAGTCTCACGAAGCAGAAGCCAGAGAGCTCAGGGCCATGTGGGGAAGCAGGATGGGAGCACTCAGGTGTGTGTTCCTCACAGGCAGGATGGTCCCTGGCCCAAGGCAGGAGCCACAGAGGCAGGACTTTCTAGAGAGAGCACCAGACTCCCTGCCTCTGCCTTCAGCTCACAGACCATTGCCTGATTCTGAACCGTATCCTCACATCCCCTGCAGCCACTCACATCCAGGAGAAGGTTCCATGACAGGCAGAAAGTGGGACACAGAATCAATAGGATGGGAACTCAGAGCTATACATGGGATGGATCCTTGAGCTCAGAGAGATAGAATGTCTGAGTCTGCTGTTGG
This sequence comes from Homo sapiens, assembly GCF_000001405.40. Taxonomy (NCBI): domain Eukaryota; kingdom Metazoa; phylum Chordata; class Mammalia; order Primates; family Hominidae; genus Homo; species Homo sapiens. The sequence goes on from NT_187671.1 coordinate 14,631, forward strand.
CAACTGAGGGACCTCAGGCACCTATGGCCTCCCCCTGTATGTTGGTATCTGCTTATGAAATGAGGACCCAGAAGTGCCCTCCGAGCTGTTTTGACGACTTCCGTCTTCTACAGATGCTGTTGTAATGGACCAAGAGCCTGCAGGGAACAGAACAGTGAACAGGGAGGTAGGTGCTCCTCCGCCCAGCCTCGTGGCTAGTCTTATTCCCAAAGAGTCCTGGAAAATGTGAGCACCCTCCCTCACTCAGCATTTCCCTCCCTCCAGGACTCTGATGAACAAGACCCTCAGGAGGTGACATACGCACAGTTGAATCACTGCGTTTTCACACAGAGAAAAATCACTCGCCCTTCTCAGAGGCCCAAGACACCCCCAACAGATACCAGCGTGTAACACGGAACTTCCAAATGCTGAGCGCAGATCCAAAGTTGTCTTCTGTCCACTAGCACCACAGTCAGGCCTTGATGGGATCTTCTAGGGAGACAATAGCCCTGTCTCAAAACCGGGTTGCCAGCTCCCATGTACCAGCAGCTGGACTCTGAAGGCGTGAGTCTGCATCTTAGGGCATCGCTCTTCCTCACACCACGAATCTGAACATGCCTCTCTCTTGCTTACAAATGTCTAAGGTCCCCACTGCCTGCTGGAGAGAAAACACACTTGCTTAGCCCACAATTCTCCATTTCACTTGACCCCTGCCCACCTCTCCAACCTAACTGGCTTACTTCCTAGTCTACTTGAGGCTGCGATCACACTGAGGAACTCACAATTCCAAACATATAAGAGGCTCCCTCTTAACACGGCACTTAGATACGTGCTATTCCACCTTTCCTCAGAGTATCTTTCAGCCTTCTGTCAGCAGTAAAACTTATAAATTTTTTTTATAATTTCAATGTAGTTTTCTCTTCTTCAAGTAAACATGTCTGCCCTCATGGTTTCGTCAATGGGACTCTTTTCTTGCCTAAGGCTTCCGGTGTTATCATTACCACGTCCACATAACCCCATCTGTTCTCCGCTGGGTTCTCACCCCTGGACTCTGAGCTTCTGGAAGCAGGGTGGAGCCTGAATTGTCTCTGAGACTCCAATTTCCATCCAAAGATGCAGCACATAGGAGGTTCCAAGGATGGTGAATCAGATGAACAAGTGATATTCTTACTCTCTGCAGATCTGGAAAGCTGGCAGAGTCATTCCACGATGAAACATTTGTAGAGTCATAGGCCTTGTTAGTCTCATCTCCACAGGGACACGTATCAACACATCATCTTTCATACTACTATAAATAGACAGTCACTCCTCCATATCTCTGGGGTTTACACATGTTTATTGAATCAGCAATAAATCAAAAATATTTTGAGAAAAAAAATCCCCGAAGTTTCAAAAAGCAAAAAACTATGTTGAATCGACACAAATTGAGTGGCGTGTAGGCTGTGTCAGGAATTATAAGTAATCAAGAGATGATTTCATGTATACAGGAGGATGTGCATGGGTTCTATGCAATTGCTATGCTATTTTTTTTTTTTTTGAGACAGTCTCACTCTCTCACCCAGGCTGGAGTGCAGTGGCGTGATCTCAACTCACTGCAACCTCCGCCTTCCAGGTTCAAGCGATTCTCTTCCCTCAGCCTCCCCAGTAGCCTCCCCTAGGATTACAGGCACGTGCCACCCTGCACAGATAAATTTTTTTGTGTGTATATTTTTAGTAGAGATGGGGTTTCAGAATGTTGGACCAGCTGGTCTTGAACTCCTGACCTTGTGATCTACCCAGCTCAGCCTCCCAAAGTGCTGGGATTACAGGCGTGAGCCACGGTGCCCAGCTTCACTATGCCATTTCATGCAAGGGGCTTGAGCATCTGCAGATTTTGGTATCTGAATGGGGATCCTGGAACCAATCACCCAGGTATAGTGAAGGACCATGGTATATAATTTTTATTTGTCAATCTTAAAAATAAAGCATAAAAAATTTACAACAACAAGATAAAAAATAAGAAGTGTTTTTATAGTGTGAGGATAAGTTTAGATTTATTTTTTCCTACGTGTAACCCTATGGTCCTGTGTTATTTGTTGAGAAAATATTCTATTCCACCTTAAACTACATGGCAGCCTTTGTCAACTATAAAGGGACTGTGTATCCACAGATGTATTTTAGACACAGTTTTCTGTCCAGTGGTTCTCTGTATCCCCTCTCATGAGGATGCTGCATTTTATATAAACTTATAGAACCCCTTAAAATTTGGTAACCTGAGTCCTCTGATTTGTTATTATAGGTTATTTAGTTTGCTTTTTTTTTTTTTCTTGAGACAGACTCTTCCTCTGTCACCCAAGCTGGAGTTCAGTGGCTTGAGCTCAGCTCACTGCAACCTCCGTCTCCCAGGTTCAAGCTATTCTGATGCCTCTGGTTTAGTAGTAGAAACTCAAGCAGGAAAATTAGAATGGCTTCTTGTCACAATTACTCTGATAATGTTAATAATACCTGTTAGACATTTTGCACATTACATATGAAGAAGAGTTTGAATCTCAGATAAAAACAAAAATACATCAAAAATCTTTAATGTAAGCACAGAATTCAATCATCTCGTGTATGAGAGGTTGGATCTGAGACGTCTTTTGAGTCTGGTCGTAGTGAAGGACGCAAGGTGTCAATTCTAGTGAGAACAATTTCCAGGAAGCCATGTTCCGCTCTTGAGCGAGCACCCACTGGGCCTCATGCAAGGTAGAAAGAGCCTGCGTACGTCACCCTCCCATGATGTGGTCAACATGTAAACTGCATGGGCAGGGCGCCAAATAACATCCTGTGCGCTGCTGAGCTGAGCTGGGGCGCGGCCGCCTGTCTGCACAGACAGCACCATGTCGCTCATGGTCGTCAGCATGGTGTGTGTTGGTGAGTCCTGGAAGGGCATCGAGGGAGGGAGTGCGGGGATGGAGATCGGGGCCCAGAGTTGGAGATATAGGCCTGGAAGTGGAGTTATGGGCCTAGAGATGGAGTGATGGGCCTAGAAGTGGAGATCTGGGCCTGGAGTGGAGATCTGGGCCTGGAGTGGAGATATGGGCCTGGAGGTTGAGATATGGGCCTGCAGTAGAGATATGGGCTTGTAGTGGAGACATGGGCCTGGAGATGGAGATATGGGCCTGGAGATGGAGATATGGGCCTGCAGTAGAGATAGGGGCCTGGAGTGGAGATATGGGCCTGGAGTGGAGATATGGGCCTGGAGGTGGAGATATGGGCCTGGAGGTGGAGATATGGGCCTGGAGTGGAGATATGGGTCTGGAGGTGGAGATACGGGCCTGCAGTAGAGATATGGGCCTGGAGTGGAGATATGGGCCAGGAGTGGAGTTATGGGCCTAGAGATGGATATCTGGGCCTGGAGTGGAGATATGGGCCTAGGAAGGAGATATGGGCCTGGGTGTGGAGATATGGGACTGGAGAGGTGATATGGGCCTGGAGTGGAGATATGGGCTTAGGGTGGAGATCTGGGCCTGGGGCGGAGATATGGGACTGGATTGGAGATAGGGGCCTAGGGTGGAGATCTGAGCCTGGATTGGCGATATGGGCCTAGGGTGGAAATATCAGCCTGGAGTGGAGATATGGGCTTGGGGTGGGGATATGGGCCTGGAAACTGGGTCTCTGCACAGCCGACAGCCCTGTTCTTGGGTGCAGGTAGGCACTGAGGGTGAGTTTAACTTCAGCCCAGGAAGGGCCTGGCTGCCAAGACTCACAGCCCAGTGGGGGCAGCAAGGGAGGCCTGGTTTGCCTGCAGATGGATGGTCCATCATGATCTTTCTTTCCAGGGTTCTTCTTGCTGCAGGGGGCCTGGCCACATGAGGGTGAGTCCTTCTCCAAACCTTCGGGTGTCATCTCCCCACATAAGAGGATTTTCCTGAAACAGGAGGGAAGTCCTGTCGGGGAGTCTCTCATAAACTAGGAAGAGAGGACCCTGGGGTGCTCAGCCCACATTTCTGACCTCGCCTCCCTGGCCTCTCAACCCCTTGGCAGAGTCAAGTTCTGTGGGGACCAGGGTTAGACTGGGGTGCTCAAAGCTGGGGTGTGTGGTTGGGAAGTGGTAGGAACAGCAGATCCTCTGAGGACAAAGGTGTTACTCACACACTTCAGCGTTTCCATGATGGTAGGGGCTGCAGTGTGGCTGCTGTCATTCTACCAGAAGAGGTGGGAAACCACAGCCATGGCCCTGACATTCCAAATCCTCTGATGGGGGCTCAGTTGTTTATTTTCGTTCAGGCATCCGCTGATATCCATTCACAAAGGACATGCCCTCCACCTCATGTCTACCCTGTGTTGTTTTATGTGAGTAATCTTACAGTATTAAAATCTAGTAGGAGTCTCTTTACTCAGCACTTGCTCAAAGTTCTCAGCTGAGGCTTTTGTTGTAGGGAGACACCATGTCTTTGCGGGATGGGTCCTTCCTTCAGCCCTGGGCACCAAGGTGTGATAGTAGCCATAGAAACGTGGAAAGCGAGGAGAATCTTCTGAGCACAGGGAGGGAAGGGCAGTTCCACATCCTCCTCTCTAAGGCGGCGCCTCCTTCTCCCCAAGGTGGTCAGGACAAGCCCTTGCTGTCTGCCTGGCCCAGCCTTGTGGTGCCTCTAGGACATGTCATTCTTCGGTGTCACTCTTATCTTGGGTTTAACAACTTCAGTCTGTAAAAGGAAGGTGGGGTGCCTGTCCCTGAGCTCTACAACAGAATATTCTGGAACAGCCTTTTCATGGGCCCTGTGACCCCCGCACACACAGGGACATACAGATGTCGGGGTTCACACACACACTCCCCCAGTGGGTGGTCAGCACCCAGCAACCCCCTGGTGATCGTGGTCATAGGTCAGAGGGCTCCTGTCTTGGATTCTCCTTGTCCCACCTCCTGAATCCCAGAGCTTCTGTTGGGCATGTCCTTGAGGGTCCCATCACGCAGGCCCTGACTGTATTTGTGGTAAAGGGGGATTGAATACAGGGAAATGGGTGCTGTGGTGGGAAGAATAATTGTCCCCAGTGATGACTACATTCTAATCCCTGGAGTCTGTGACTATTTATGTTATAGGGGAAGGGACTGAAGGGGAAGATGGAGCTCATGGGGAGACAGCCTGGACTGTCCCACTGGGCTCAGTGTAATCACAAGGGTGCACATGAAAGGAGGAGGAAGAGGGGAGTGGGGATTAGAGCAGTCCAGTGGAAGTCTTCACCAGCTTTGAAGGTGGAGGAAGGCCAAGATCCATGAATGCAGGTGGCCTATAGAGGCTGGAAAAGTCAAGGAACTGATTCTCCAGAGTCTCCAGAGGGAACAAAGCCCTGCAGATGCCTTGATTTTAGCCCAGGAAAAATAGGGTCCAATTTCTGTCTCCAGTACTGGAAGGTGTCAGTGTGGTCTCTCCTGCTGCCATGCTTCTGATAATTTTCTACAGCAGCAACAGGAAACCAACACTGGAACCCAGGTCAAGGACAAGTTAAGAAACAACCCAAGGAAAGCCAGGCATGGTGGCAGGTGCATGTAATCCTAGCGACTCAGGAGGCTGAGGGCAGGAGAATCACTTGAACCCAGGAGACAGAGGTTGCAGTGAGCCTAGACCACACCACTTCACTCCAGCCTGGGTGAAGGAGTGAGACTCTGTCTCCATAATTAATTAATTAATTAAAGAAACCAAACAAGGAGAAGGTTGGCTACCCTGAGATCAGCAAGGGTGGGATGATGATGCCACCACCAGGCTCCATCCACATAGGGAGGGGTTGATACTCCTCCAACCAGCACCAGGAGCCAGCCTATGGAAGCTGGCACCATGGAGAAGGCACAGGCATGGCAAGAGTGGCTCCCAGTCCCCACCAGGAACAGGGTGTGTGGACACTGGTGCCTGCCTTATTCATCAGTTCATACCTTCTGCCAAGGATTGCAATTCATCCAAAAGAGATTGAACCAGGCTGATAAGAGCCTGGATGTGCAGCCTATCCTGGTTCCTCTTTCACCCCCACATAAACAGCAGGAAATACATTAGTGTGAAATAGATACAACACCCCAAGAGATGAGGCTCAGCCCAGTGGGAAGGGAATCAGAGGCTACTAGAGACAGAGGGACAGAGAAGAGGGAGGGAGACAGATGGAAGGACCTGCACCAGGAGTTAAGGGCACAGAAAAGAACATGAAGACACAGAGAGGAAGGAGAGAGACAGACACCAGCAAGGGGAAGCCTCACTCATTCTAGGTGCCATGGATGGGATGATAAAGAGAGACACCTTCTAAACTCACAACCTCTCTTCCTAGGAGTCCACAGAAAACCTTCCCTCCTGGCCCACCCAGGTCCCCTGGTGAAATCAGAAGAGACAGTCATCCTGCAATGTTGGTCAGATGTCAGGTTTCAGCACTTCCTTCTGCACAGAGAAGGGAAGTTTAAGGACACTTTGCACCTCATTGGAGAGCACCATGATGGGGTCTCCAAGGCCAACTTCTCCATCGGTCCCATGATGCAAGACCTTGCAGGGACCTACAGATGCTACGGTTCTGTTACTCACTCCCCCTATCAGTTGTCAGCTCCCAGTGACCCTCTGGACATCGTCATCACAGGTGAGAGTGTCCGGACATTCTCATTGTCATTGGGATGCAGAGTGAATGATCCACGACTTGGAACCCCCAGGTAGTTGTAAGGAAGATGAGCTTGGTATTCTTATGGAGAGAGACTGACTTGCTGAGGTTTGTACCAACAGAGACAGAGAAACAGGAGACACAAGTACAGACCAGGTGTCATAACAGAGGACAGACACAGGGGCCATACAGGGAGTTAGAAAAGACAGAAAGAGTTAAAAGAGACAGACAGACAGACATGTCCCAGAGAGAGGTGTCCCTCCATGCTGACTTTGCTCACAGACCTGGCACAGGTTAGAAGTTTCATTTCTGTTTTACCTCCACAAAGTGTTCTCTACCAGGAGAACCCAAGGACACCCATATTTATGACCTGAGTTGGGCCCTGTGGCCTCAGGCCTTGTGGCACCTACAGGCCATGTTTATTCTGACACCTCTGCCTTCCATGTAATGGAGAGTAATCGTCCCAGGATATCATGGCCCCAGAACACCAACCCCTGTATGCTGTGTGAACTTGTGGTCTCCAGACTGGATTCTGTGGCTCACATTCCAAATAACCCCACATATGAAAGGATCACTGAGAGGCACAGAGAAAAATCAGGAACACCAAAAAGCAAAGACATAAACACACAGAGAATGAGCCAGAGGAAGGAGATTGAGAGACTCACAGACACATAAAGAGAGAGAAAAGAGGGCAGAGGAGTGGTGAGAATGATGGCAGGGAGCAGAGAAAAGCACTAAAATTAGAGTCCTGAGAGAGAGGCACAAGGACATAGAAACATGGAGATGTGGGGATGAATTGCAGAGATTCCAAAGAGAACTAGAGAGACCGAGAGGCAGAGCAAGACAGATGATAGATGGATAGATATAGATAGATGATAAATAGGTAGATGATAGATAATAGGTTAAAGATACATAGATGATGATTGATTGATTCATTAATAGATAATACATAGAGATGATGATGATGAAGACAGATAATACGTACAGATAGAGAGGCAGACAGAAATCATAGAGAGAGAGATGATACATACATATAAATAACAGATGATTGATGGATAGATAGACAAGTGATAGATACATAGATGATATATAGATATAGATGACAGGTAGAGAATTTGTAGATAGGCACCGAATAGATAAATAGATAGATCGACAGATAATAGATAGAAATATGCAGAAAGTTATGAACAGGACACAACGTGAGAAACTTAGAATTTAAAAAAGTAACATCAAGTCAACCAATCCAAGGAGAGTCAGAGAGAATAAAAGAATCCAAAAAGGGAAAACATATCTAGAGGTGGGGAAGCGAGGTCAGAGACCTAGAGAGACAGAGAAGGTGGAAGAAGGAAATAGACATGAAGAGAGATGGGGTGGAGGGTGAGAGAGAGAGAGAGAGAGAGCATTAGGTCATAGAGCAGGGGAGTGAGTTCTCAGCTCAGGTGAAGGGAGCTGTGACAAGGAAGATCCTCCGTAAGGAAAATGCCTCTTCTCCTCCAGGTCTATATGAGAAACCTTCTCTCTCAGCCCAGCCGGGCCCCACGGTTCTGGCAGGAGAGAGCGTGACCTTGTCCTGCAGCTCCCGGAGCTCCTATGACATGTACCATCTATCCAGGGAGGGGGAGGCCCATGAACGTAGGTTCTCTGCAGGGCCCAAGGTCAACGGAACATTCCAGGCCGACTTTCCTCTGGGCCCTGCCACCCACGGAGGAACCTACAGATGCTTCGGCTCTTTCCGTGACTCTCCATACGAGTGGTCAAACTCGAGTGACCCACTGCTTGTTTCTGTCACAGGTGAGGAAACCCCATATCTGTCTCATGTCCTATGATCCTAGAGCCTTAGCTGAGGAGCTTCCTGCTGATGATGGAGAGAAGCATGGACAGATGCAGAGAGAAGACGAAGCTTGGGTGTGAGGGAGGGATCAGGGCACAGGATGGCAGACAGGGCACCTCCAAACCCTCCTACACGGCCTGCATGAAGGCCCGCGGCCAGGGCTCCAGGCACACAGGCAGATGGAGAAAACGGTCAGGAGAGACCCAGAGGAGAGAGACTGGGCTCAGTTTGGGAAGATCAGAGGTTCCCTCAGCCCCTCAACATTACCCATTTCCCAGAAGCCCATCCTGGCCTCTCACCCACACAGGGATGTCATCACCAGCAACCCCTACACCCTTTACTTTTGTTTGAAGAAATATTTATTGAGGATAAATATACCTATATAGCTTACCACCTTTAACATTTTTTTTTTTTTTGAGGCAGAGTCTAGCTCTGTCCCCTATGCTGGAGTGCAGTGGCACAATCTCAGCTCACTGCAACTTCCGCCTCCTGGGTTCAAGTGATTCTCCTGCTTCAGCCACCTGAGTAGCTGGTGCTACAGGCGCGCACCACCACGCCAGGCTACTTTTTGTATTTTTAGTAGAGAGGGGGTTTCACCATGTTGGTCGAGCTGGTCTCCAACTCCTGACCACGTGATCCACCCGCATCTGCCTCCCAAAGTGCTGGGATTACAGGCATGAGCCACCACGCCCAGCCACATTTACCATTTTTAAGTGTAAAGTCTAGTGGTCATAAATACATTTATATATATATATATATATATATATATATATACACACACACACACATATATAAACATATATATATATATATATATATATATATATATATATATATATATTTTTTTTTTTTTTTTTTTACCCTCCACCCTTTTATTCCTGGCCTCTGGAAGCCACCATTCTACTCTCTACCTTCATGAGATCCACCTTTTAGCTCTGTATATGGGTGAGAAATGGGAATCTTTGTAATGACTTCCAGTTCCATCCATGTGGCTGCAAATATCAGGATGTTATTCTTTCTATGGATGAGTAGTCTCCACTGTGCGTATGTACTACATTCTCTCTATCCATTCATCCACTGATGGGCAGGTAGGTTGACTCCACATCTTGGCTACTGTGAACAGTGCTGCACCAATCATACGAGTGCAGATATCACTTCGATATATTGATTTACTTTCCTTTGGATATAAACCCAGTAGTGAAATTGCTGGATACTATGAAAGTTCTCTTTTTAGTTATTCGTTTGTTGTTTTGTTTTTGTTTTTGAGACAGTTTCCCTCTGTGCCCAGGCTGGAGTACAAGTGAAGTCATCTTGGCTCATTGCAACCTCCGCCTCCTGGGTTCAAATGATTTTCCTGCCTCAGCCTCCCTAGTAGCTGGGATTACAGGTGCACGCCACCATGCCTGGCTACTTTTTGTTTTTTTTAGTATAGATGGGGTTTCCCCATGTTGGCTGGGCTGCTCTCAAACTCATGACCTCAACTGAGGTGCCCGCCTCGGTCTCCCAAAGTGCCGGGATTACAGGCATGATCCACCTCACCCAACCTCTTTTTAGTTCTTTAAAGGACTTCCACACTTTTCTCCGTAAAGGCTGTACTAATTTACACTCCTACCAACAGGGTATTAGGGTTCTCCTTTCTCTACCACTTTGGCAGGATTTCCTTTGCCTGTCTTGCAGCTAAAAGCCATTTTATTTTATTTCATTTTATTTTGAGATGGAGTTTCGCTCTTGTCACCCAGGCTGGAGTGCAGTGGTGCGATCTCGGCTCACCACAACCTCCACCTCCCAGGTTCAAGCGATTCTCCTGCCTCAGCCTCCCGAGTAGCTGGAATTACAGGCACACGCCACCACGCCCAACTAAATTTTGTATTTTTAGTAGAGACAGTGTTTCTTCATGTGGGTCAGACTGGTCTCAAACTCCCGACCTTATGAGGTTCACCCACCTCAGGCTCTCAAAGGTCTAGGATGACAGACGTGAGCCACCACGCCCGGCCTAAAATCCATTTTAATGGGGTGAGATGAAAACTCACTTTGATTTTAATTTGTGTTTCTCTGATGATGAGTGAAACTGAGCACTTTTTAGTATGTGGGGAAATTTCATGTGTTTTGCTCCTTTTTCAATTAAATCGTTTGTTTTATTGAGTTGTTTGAGCTTCTTATATTTCTAGTTATTAATCCCATCTCAGATGCATAGTTTGCACATATTTGCTCCCAATCTGTGGGTTGTCTCTTCACTTTGTTGGTTTATTTTTAGCGGTGCAGAAGTTGCTTAGTTTGAGGTAATCCCAATGGTCTATTTTTGCTTCGATTACTTGTGTTTTGAAGGTTTAAAACAAAATGTCTTCCTTCAGACAAATGTCCTGGAGCATTTCCCCAATATTTTCTTCTACGTGTTTCATAGGTTCAGGCCTTAGACTCACATCTTTAATCCATTTTCATTTGAGTTTTGTGTATAGTGACAGGTAGAGGTGCAGTTTCATTCCTCTGCATGTAGATGTCCAGGTTTCCCTGCACTGTTTATTGAAAAGACTGTCCTTTCCTGATTGTGAGTTCTTGGCACCTTTGTCAAAGTCCATTGGATGGGCTGGGCATGGTGGCTGACACCTGCAATTTCAGCACTTTGGGAGCCCAAGGCGGGTGGATCACCTGAGGCCAGGAGTTCAAGATTAGTCTGGCCGACGTGATGAAACATTGTCTCCACTAAAAATATAAAAATTAGCTGAGCATGGTGGTCAGCACCTGTAATACCACTACTCAGGAGTTTGAGGCCAGAGAATTGATTGAACCCAGGAGGCTGTGGTGGCAGTGAACCGAGATTGCACCTCTGCACTCCAGCCTGGGTGACAGAGCGAGACTCCATCTCAAAAGAAAAAAGAAAAAAACATTGGAGGTAAATGCATGGATTATATCTGTGTTCTTCATTCTGCTCCATTGTTCTACGTGCCTTTCTTTATGCCAATGTGATGCTGTTTTGCTTACTACAGCTCTGTAACATATTTTGAGATCAGGTAGTGTGATGCTCCTGTTTTCTCTTTATACCTTGAAGTCTCAAGACAGTGGGCGTCACATACAAAAATTACGGAAAAAAGGATCCCAGGACTCCCAGGGCCCAATATTAGATAACAGAGTGTTGGCCATGAACCAACCTCAAAGATTTCCATTGAGTAGAGGACAGACACCCTCATTTCCTCACCTCTCTCCTGTCTCGTGTTCTAGGAAACCCTTCAAATAGTTGGCCTTCACCCACTGAACCAAGCTCCGAAACCGGTGAGTACAGAACCCTCTTATATCCGCTTTTGGAAACCTGGGGAGGTAGAAACCTTCGATGCAGGCATTGACTCAGCATCTCGCAGCTCTGACATTGTACGCCTGTCTTCTACCATCTCCGAACTCCAGATACTCCAACAGCGAAAGGGATCTGGGCCCAACCTAGGGCTCAGTGAAATCTCTTAATCTCTCATTTTATGGAGCTGAGACCTCCTACAAGCTAGAAGAATGATTGCCAATCTGACATCCTTCTCAGGAAAAATGCAATGTTTGTTCTGCCTGCATTCCTAACTGGAGGATAAATTCCTGGGGGCTTGAGAGAGGGAAGGGAAGGGAACATCTGATGAGGGCGAGGTGTTTTAGAGAAGTTCCACTTGCCAAGGAATGAATTACTGTTGGTCATGAAGCAACCCTGGCTGACTCAGCAGAGCAACAGCCTTGCCGTAACAGAGAACGGAGCTCATGCACGCACACTTCGACTCACTGACTCATTCAGCCACGGCCCCATGCTCAGGCTGTGCAGTGCGGAACCTTTTCCTATTGTTGCCATAACAAATTTCCACAAGATTCGTGGGTGAAAACAAAACGGTTTTTTAATTATCTTACAGTGCTGTAGCTCAAAGTAGGAAGTGCATCTTACTGGGCTAAAATCAAGGTGACAGCAAGGCTGCCTTCCCTCTGAGGATTCCAGGCAAGAATCTGCTTCTCACTTATCCCAGCTTCTAAAGGCTCCCAGTTCCTTGGCTCCTGTTCCCCTTCCTCCTTCCTCAAAGCCCACAAAGACTGGTCACATCTCACATGGCATCACTCAGTGCCTTCTTCCTTACCACACCTCTTTCTCTGAATGCTGCTCTCCCTTCTTCCTTATCTTTTGAAAACTTGGGGATTCTATTGGGTTCACCAAGATGAAAATCCCTCATAATCTCCTGGAAATCATCCAGGATACCCTTGTTTTAAGTTCAGCTGATTAGCAACCGCAATTCCATCTACAATCTTCATTCCTCCTTTCCATGTAAAATAACATATTCACAAGCTATGGAGGCTAGGACAGGGACATTTTGGGGTGGGACAGCATTCTCCTGCCTTCCACAAACGGTGAACAAGATGCATTTGGCTTCTGCCCTTGGGACACTGATATTGCAGATGGTTAAATGGGAGGGCAGAAAATGAATGCACAAGTGGATCTATAAATGAATGATCCATTGGGAAGCATCTGTGCATGAAATCTATTTTTTGTTTGTTCTTTTGTTTATTGAGACAGAGTCGCCCTCTGTCTTCCAGGCTACAGTGCAGTGTCACGATCTTGGCTCACTGCAACCTGCGTCTCCTGGATTCAAGTGATTCTCCTGCCTCCGCCTCTCGAGTAGCTGGGATTACAGGCAACTGCCACCGTGCCCGGCTAATTCTTTTTGTATATTTTTTGTAGAGAGGATGTTTCACCACGTTGGCCAAGCTTGTCTGAAACTCCCAACCTCAAGTGATCCGACCGTCTCAGCATGCCAAAGTAATGGGACTACAGGCGTGAGCCACTGTGCCCAGCCAGAATTCAAAATCAATAATAGATAATGCTGAGTGTATGATTTCAGGTGACAAAGAAGGTCTCACTATTCAGATATTTGTGACATTAATGAAAAACACGGATTGAACCCCTGAAAGATTGGCGGAAGGATTTTGCACACACAGCTGTCAGCCGTGAAGGCACAAAGGTGAAAACAATCTGATGTGGAAGGAAGAGGCTCTGCCTCAAATGCTGGGAATGATGTGGGGAGAATGACAAGACGACTGTAGAGAGACGGAGAGCACACTGGGTACACAGGAAACTAAGGAGCAACAAGGAGTGTGTGTTTGACACTCACAGCCATTGGATTCACCTCGGGGTAACCAGGAATCCCTACATGATTAATATGACTGACATGAAAATAAGGGAGGCTCAGTTGCATAACTGGAATCTAGGAGACCGTGGAAAAGGCAATTGCCACCCCACTGGTGAAATGTGGTGCTGATTTAGACACTAAATGAATGAAGTAGATGGATATAAGATATGTTTGTGAGGTAGAATCATTGACTGGAAAGGCTTACTGGGTTTGATTTTCCTACTTGTTTAATCCTCGCTTAATTAATTTCTTTCTGAGATTTATTCATCCTACACATAAATCAATACCTGGCAAAGGAGTGACAGATATATGAGTGGTGGTGGAAATGAAGAGACTTATTATAGCATAATATACAAGTCTGTGAACAGTGGCTCACGCCTGTAACCTAGCACTGCAGGAGGCCAAGGTGGGTGGATTCCATGAAGTCAGGAGTTCCAGACCAGCCTGGCCAACGTGGTGAAACCCTATCTCTACTAAAAATACAAAAATTAGCCGAGCACGATGGTGCATCCCTGTAATCCCAGCTCCTATTCTGGAGGATGAAGCAGGAGAATGACTTCAACCCAGTAGGTGGAGGTTGCAGTGAGTGGAGATTGCATCACTGCACTCCAGCCTGGGGGACACAAGGAGACTCTATCTCAAAAAATAAAAATAAGAAATACATAAATATAATAAAACACACACGAATGACAAAGGCACCTGAATTCCAATCATCGTTTTTCTATTTCTCTATAATTACTTCTTTGATCCTTTATCTTATCCATTAGGCAATGAGCTTAAAACCTCTTCCCTATTTGGCTTTCTGTGAGAATGAGATCACATAGAAAATGTGAAAGCCCTCAGAATCCTCCAGCACAGATCGTGGAATAGAGAAAGTGCTCTGTTCATCGCAACAAAAAACTTGCCCACTCACCCAAATCCCCCACCTCACCCCTACTTCCAATCACCTGTGGAGATTCAGATAGGCTATGGGGAGGTAAACATTGATACTCCTTGGAGTGAGTCCAGATCTTGGAATCAGAGATCAGTGCCAGCACTAGCTCCTGCTCCTCTTTCCTACTAATTCACAGGAGGACAGGTGGTATTGAAGCAATAGATGGCCGAGGGGGTGGTCCTTCCCCCAGCCTCTCGGGTAGAACAGCAGCCTAACATGTGTCTCCCGAGATCACAAAGAGTAGCACGTTTCACACGGGCTTCAACACTATTTCCTGGCCATTTGACATAAGAGAATTCTACTTAGCTTTTTTTATCTTGATTTCACTTTTGTTTCCTTTTCTTGGAGAATGCAAGTTGTTTGATTCAAGAATGCTGTGGATGTAGAAATCCTAAAGCACATTCGCTGTGTATCAATCCCAGTGCAGTCTTCCCAGAGAAGACTCTAAATACCTCCTGGACTGCACCTGGGCTTATGCCAATTCCTATCACTCACCGTCACTCCAGGGAGACAGAACACACAGAGAATACATTACACAGGCAGGTTCATTACTAACAGATAAGCAGCGAGTGACAACAGAAACCTACATTTCAATGTGAGCCAGTCCCTCAAGGCTCAGAAAAGCTACTCGGGACATATGGAGTCACCCCATTTGCAGTGTAGCTGGGGGAAGCCAGAGAGCAGCCCAGCCTGGGTTTTGTACTGTGGAGCCACAGGAAGCACTCAGCTAAAGCACTGCATGACGTCCTCCTCCAGGAAGAACAGGAAGACAGCCCAGGCTGTTCTGAGACGTTCCTCCTGATCTCAGGACGTTGCTGTCTTAGTCCATTTTTGTTGCTCTAAAGGAACACTTGAGCCTGGGTAACTTCTAGAGAAAAGAGATTGGTTTGCCTCACAGTTCTGCAGGCTGTACTGGAAGCGTGGCACCAGCATCTATTTCTCGTGACGGCCTCAGGCTGCTCCCACTCTGGCAGAAGGGAAGGAGGGTCTGTCTGTGCAGAGACCACAGAGATCACACGGCAAGAGAGGGAGCAAGGGGGAGGGGGAGCGATGGAGCTTCCAAGCTCTTTTGAACAACCAGCTCTCCAGGAACTAATAGAAGGGGAACTTGCTAACCCCGTCTCCTTGGGACAGCATTGGTCTGTTCATGATGGATCCACCTCCATGACCCAAACACCTCTCAAGAGGCCCAACCTCCCACAGTGGGGGTGAAATTTCAATGTGAGGTTTGAAGGGGTCAAACATCTCAACTAAAGTAGTTGTATCCTCAACACGTTCTATGGTTACTATGAGAGCTATAACTGAGAAAGCAGGAGAAAGCTGGGTCTCCCTCCATCTGGGTGCTTGTCCTAAAGGGGTGTTGTATGTGGTTACCTGTCAATCAAGAAATGTGAGACAATTCATAAAGAGGAACTGCTATGATTAGCTTCTTATTGGTGTCTCCTCTTCTTCCAGGTAACCCCAGACACCTGCATGTTCTGATTGGGACCTCAGTGGTCATCATCCTCTTCATCCTCCTCCTCTTCTTTCTCCTTCATCGCTGGTGCTGCAACAAAAAAAGTAAGTCTCACGAAGCAGAGGCCAGAGAGCTCAGGGCCATGTGGGGAAGCAGGATGGGAGCACTCAGGTGTGTGTTCCTCACAGACAGGATGGTCCCTGGCCCAAGGCAGCAGCCACAGAGGGAGGACTTTCTAGAGAGAGCACCAGACTCCCTGTCCCTGCCTTCAGCTCACAGACCATTGCCTGATTCTGAACTGTATCCTCATGTCCCCTGCAGCCACTCACATCCAGGAGAAGGTTCCATGACAGGCAGAAAGTGGGAGACAGAATCAATGGGATGGGAACTCAGAGCTATTCATGGGATGGGTCCTTGAGCTCAGAGAGATAGAATGTCTGAGTCTGCTGTTGGCAACTGAGGGACCTCAGGCTCCTATGGTCTCCCCCTGTATGTTGGTATCTGCTTATGAAATGAGGGCCCAGAAGTGCCCTCTGAGCTGTTTTGTTGACTTCCGTCTTCTACAGATGCTGTTGTAATGGACCAAGAGCCTGCAGGGAACAGAACAGTGAACAGGGAGGTAGGTGCTCCTCGGCCCAGCCTCGTGGCTAGTGTTATTCCCAAAGAGTCCTGGAAAATGTGAGCACCCTCCCTCACTCAGCATTTCCCTCTCTCCAGGACTCTGATGAACAAGACCCTCAGGAGGTGACATATGCACAGTTGAATCACTGCGTTTTCACACAGAGAAAAATCACTCGCCCTTCTCAGAGGCCCAAGACACCCCCAACAGATATCATCGTGTACACGGAACTTCCAAATGCTGAGCCCTGATCCAAAGTTGTCTCCTGCCCATGAGCACCACAGTCAGGCCTTGAGGGGATCTTCTAGGGAGACAACAGCCCTGTCTCAAAACTGGGTTGCCAGCTCCAATGTACCAGCAGCTGGAATCTGAAGGCGTGAGTCTGCATCTTAGGGCATCGCTCTTCCTCACACCACAAATCTGAACGTGCCTCTCCCTTGCTTACAAATGTCTAAGGTCCCCACTGCCTGCTGGAGAGAAAACACACTCCTTTGCTTAGCCCACAATTCTCCATTTCACTTGACCCCTGCCCACCTCTCCAACCTAACTGGCTTACTTCCTAGTCTACTTGAGGCTGCAATCACACTGAGGAACTCACAATTCCAAACATACAAGAGGCTCCCTCTTAACACGGCACTTAGACACGTGCTGTTCCACCTTCCCTCATGCTGTTCCACCTCCCCTCAGACTAGCTTTCAGCCTTCTGTCAGCAGTAAAACTTATATATTTTTTAAAATAATTTCAATGTAGTTTTCCCTCCTTCAAATAAACATGTCTGCCCTCATGGTTTAGGTAATGGGACTCTTTTCTTGCCTAAGGCTTCCGGTGTTATCAGTACCATGTCCATATAATCCCATCTGTTCTCCACCGGGTTCTCACCTCTGGACTCTGAGCTTCTGGAAGCAGTGTGGAGCCTCATTTGTCTCTGGGACTCCAATTTCCATCCAAAGATGCAGCACATAGGAGGTTCCAAGGATCGGGAATCACATGAACAAGTGACATTGTTACTCTCTGCAGACCTGGAAAGCTGGCAGAGTCATTCCACGATGAAACATTTGTAGAGTCATAGGCCTTGTTAGTCTCATCTCCATGGGGACACATATCAACACATCATCTTTCATACTATAAATATACGGTCACTCCTCCGTATCTGTGGGGTTTACAGGTCTTTATTGAACAAAGTATAAATCAAAAATATTCAGAGAAAATATCCACAGAGTTCCAAAACTCATAACTATGTTGAATGGACACAAATGAAGCTGTGTGTAGGCTGTATCAGGAATTATAAGTAATCAAGAGATGATTTCATGTATACAGGAGGATGTGCATATGTTATTTGCAAGCGCTGTGCCATTTCATATAAGAGGCTTGAGCATCTACAGATTTTGGTATCTGAGTGGAGATCTCGAAACCAATCACCCACGAATAGTGAAGGATGACCGTATATGACTTTTATTTCTCAAATTTAAATATAAATCAAAAAATGTACAACTAGATAAAAACTAAGAAGTGTTTTTATAGTGTGAGTTAGATTTATTTTTTACTAGGTGTAACCCATTGGTTTAATATTATTTATTGAGAAGACATTCTATGCCACCTTAAACCACACGGCAGCCTTTGTCAACTCTAAAGGGACTGTGTGTACATGGATGTATTTTAGACAGTTTCTGCTAAGGGGCTGTCTGTGTCCACACACTTGATGATGCTACACTTTATGTAGCCTTATAGAACCCTTTAAATTTAGTAGCCAGAGCCCTCTAATTTGTTATTATAGGCTATTTGCTTTTTTTTTTCTTGAGGCGGAGTCTTGCTCTGTCGCCCAGGCTGGACTGCAGTGACACAATCTCAGCTCACTGCAACCTCCGCCTCCCAGGTTCAAGCGATTCTCGTGCCTCAGCCTCTTGAGTAGCTGGCGTTACAGGTGCCTGCCACCAGGCATGGCTAATTTTTGGATTTTTAGCAGAGACACGGTTTCACTATGTTGGCCAGGCTGCTCTCAATCCCCTCATCTCAGTTGATCCGCCCACCTCGGCTTCCCGACGTGCTGGGGAAACTTGATTTTCTATAGCATTATGTTACTGGATATTTCTGTAAAATTTAAAATGAGGGAGGCAGAGAGACAGAGAGAGATCAAACTCCAGAGTTGGGACTCTGGAATCTTGGGTCATGAGACAAATTTTAGATTAAACTACAAAACTCCAGAATTTACAGGTGTGGTTTTTGCTGATAAAGTACAATTCTAAGATTGTAAATAATTGCATAATCCTTCCCTGGGAATTTAAATCATTTTAACTGGTTCTGCTGTAATACTAGAAATACAAGCATGAAAAATTCTAATGGTTTATTAGTCACAATGACTCTGAAAACCTTAATAATACCTATTAAATATTTTGCATATTACACATGAAGAAGAGTTTGAATCTCAGATAAAAACAATAAAAATACATGAAAAGTCTTTCACGTTAGCACAGATTTTAGGCATCTCGTGTTCAGGAGGTTGGATCTGAGACGTGTTTTGAGTTGGTCATAGTGAAGGACGCTAGGTGTAAATTCTAGTGAGAACAATTTCCAGGAAGCCGTGTTCCGCTCTTGAGCGAGCACCCACTGGGCCTCATGCAAGGTAGAATGAGCCTGCGTACGTCACCCTCCCATGATGTGGTCAACATGTAAACTGCATGGGCAGGGCGCCAAATAACATCCTGTGCGCTGCTGAGCTGAGCTGGGGCACGGCCGCCTGTCTGCACCGGCAGCACCATGTCGCTCACGGTCGTCAGCATGGCGTGTGTTGGTGAGTCCTGGAAGGGAATAGAGGAAGGGAGTGTGGGGTTGGAGATCTGGGCCCAGAGGTGGAGATATAGGCCTGGAGGTGGAGTTGTGGGCCTGGAGTGGAGATCTGGGCCTGGAGTGGATATATGGGCCTAGAGATGGAGTGATGGGCCTAGAAGTGGAGATCTGGGCCTGGAGTGCCGATAGGAACCTGGAGGGGAGATAGGAGCCTGGAGTGGAGATATGGGCCTGGAGGTGGAGTTATAGGCCTATAGTAGAGATATGGGCCTGGAGTGGAGATTTGGGCCAGGAGTGGAGATATGGGCCTAGAGGTGGATATCTGGGCCTAGAGTGGAAATATGGGCCTAGGATGGAGATATGGGCCTGGTTGTGGAGATATGGGACTGGAGAGGAGATATGGGCCTAGAGTGGAGATATGGGCTTGGGGTGGAGATCTGGGCCTGGGGTGGAGATATGGGCCTGGAGGTGGAGTTACGGGCCTTCAGTAGAGATATGGGCCTGGGGTGGAGATATGGGCTTGGGGTGGAGATCTGGGCCTGGAGTGGAGATATGGGCCTGGAGGTGGAGTTACTGGCCTTCAGTAGAGATATGGGCCTGGTGTGGAGATATGGGCCTGGATTGGAGATATGGGCCTAGGTTGGAGATCTGAGCCTGGAGTGGAGATATGGGCCTGGATTGGAGATATGGGCTTACAGTGGAGATCTTGGCCTGGATTGGCGATATGGGCCTGGATTGGCGATATGGGCCTATGATGGAAATATCGGCCTGGAGTGGAGATATGGGCCTGGAGTGGAGATACAGGCCTAGGGTGGAAATATTGGCCTGGAGTGGAGATATGGGCTTGTGGTGGGGATATGGGCTTGTGGTGGGGATCTGGGCTTGGAGGCTGGGTCTCTGCACAGCCGACAGCCCTGTTCTTGGGTGCAGGTAGGCACTGAGGGTGAGTTTAACTTCAGTCCAGGAAGGGCCTGCCTACCAAGACTCACAGCCCAGTGAGGGCAGCAAGGGAGGGCTGGTTTGCCTGCAGATGGATCGTCCATCATGATCTTTCTTTCCAGGGTTCTTCTTGCTGCAGGGGGCCTGGCCACATGAGGGTGAGTCCTTCTCCAAACCTTAGGGTGTCATCTCCCCACATAAGAGGATTTTCCTGAAACAGGAGGGAAGTCCTGTCAGGGAGCCTCTCATAAACTAGGAAGAGGGGACCCTGGGGTGCTCGGCCCACAGTTCCGACCTCGCCTCCCTGGCCTTTCATTCCCTTGGCAGAGTCAAGTTCTGTGGGGACCAGGGTTAGACTGGGGTGCTCAAAGCTGGGGTGCGTGGTGGGGAAGTGGTAGGAACAGCAGATCCTCTGAGGACAAAGGTGTTACTCACACTTCAGCGTTTCCATGACGGTAGGGGCTGCAGTGTGGCTGCTGTCACTCCACCAGAAGAGGTGGGAAACCACAGCCATGGCCCTGACATTCCAAATCCTCTGATGGGGGCTCAGTTGCTTATTTTCATTCAGGCATCTGCTGATATTCCATTCTCAAAGACATGCCCTCCACCCCATGTCTACCCTGTGTTGTTTTATGTGAGTAATCTTACAGTATTAAAATCTAGTAGGAGTCTCTTACTCAGCACTTGCTCAAAGTTCTCAGCTGACACTTTTGTTGTAGGGAGACACCTTGTGTTTGCGGGATGGGTCCTTCCTTTAGCCCTGGGCACCAAGGTGTGATAGCAGCCATAGAAACTTGGAAAGCGAGGAGAATCTTCAGAGCACAGGGAGGGAGGGGTGGCTCCACATCCTCCTCTCTAAGGCGGTGCCTCCTTCTCCCCAAGGTGGTCAGGACAAGCCCTTGCTGTCTGCCTGGCCCAGCTCTGTGGTGCCTCCAGGACATGTGATTCTTCGGTGTCATTCTTATCTTGGGTTTAACAACTTCAGTCTGTAAAAGGAAGATGGGGTGCCTGGCACTGAGCTCTACAACAGAATATTCTGGAAGAGCCTTTTCATGGGCCCTGTGACCCCAGCACACACAGGGACGTACAGATGTCGGGGTTCACACCCACACTACCCCAGTGGGTGGTCGGCACCCAGCAACACCCTGGTGATCATGGCCACAGGTCAGAGGGCTCCTGTCTTGGATTCTCCTTTCCCACCTCCTGAATCCCAGAGCTTCTGGTGGGCGTGTCCTTGAGGGTCCCATCACCCAGGCCCTGACTATATTTGGGGTAAAGGGGGATTGAATACAGGGAAATGGGTGCTGTGGTGGGAAGAATAATTGTCCCCAGTGATGACTACATTCTAATCCCTGGAGTCTGTGACTATTTATGTTATAGGGGAAGGAACTGAAGGGGAAGATGGAGCTCAGGTTGTTGATGAGTTGACCTTGAGATGGGGAGACAGCCTGGACTGTCCCGCTGGGCTCAGTGTAATCACAAGGGTCCACATGAAAGGAGGAGGAAGAGGGGAGTGGGGATTAGAGCAGCGCAATGGGAGACTCCACCAGCTTTGAAGGTGGAGGAAGGCCAGGAGCCATGAATGCAGGTGGCCTGTAGAGGTTGGAAAAGTCAAGGAAATGATTCTCCAGAGTCTCCAGAGGGAACGAAGCCCTGCAGATGCCTTGATTTTAGCCCAGGAAAAACAGGGTCCTATTTCTGTCTCCAGTAGTGAAATGGGTCAGTGTGCTCTCTCCTGCTGCCATGCTTCTGATAATTTTCTACAGCAGCAACAGGAAACCAACACTGGAACCCAGGTCAAGGACAAGGTAAGAAACAACACAAGGATAGCCGGGTGTGGTGGCAGGCGCATGTAATCCTAGCGACTTGGGAGGCTGAGGGCAGGAGAATCACTTGAACCCAGGAGACAGAGGTTGCAGTGACCCTAGACCACACCACTTCACTCCAGCTGGGGTGAAGGAGTGAGACTCTGTCTCCATAATTAATTAATTAATTAAAGGAACCAAACAAGGGGAAGGTTGGCTACACCGAGATGAGCAAGTGTGGGATGATGATGCCACCACCAGGCTCCATCCACATAGGGAGGGGTTGATACTCCTCAAACCAGCACCAGGAGCCAGCCTATGGAAGCTGGCACCATGGAGAAGGCACAGGCATGGCAAGAGTGGCTCCCAGTCCCGACCAGGAACAGGGTGTGTGGACACTGGTGCCTGCCTTATTCATCAGTTCATACCTACTGCCAAGGATTCCAATTCATCCAAAAGAGATTGAACCAGGCTGATAAGAGGCTGGATGTGCAGCCTATCCTGGTTCCTCTTTCACCCCCACATAAACAGCAGGAAAGACATTAGTGTGAAATAGATACAACACCCCAAGAGATGAGGCTAAGCCCAGTGGGAAGGGAATCAGAGGCGACTAGAGACAGAGGGACAGAGAAGAGGGAGGGAGACAGATGGAAGGACCTGCACCAGGAGTTATGGGCACAGAAAAGAACATGAAGACACAGAGAGGAAGGAGAGAGACAGACACCAGCAAGGGGAAGCCTCACTCATTCTAGGTGCCATGGATGGGATGATAAAGAGAGACACCTTCTAAACTCACAACCTCTCTTCCTAGGAGTCCACAGAAAACCTTCCCTCCTGGCCCACCCAGGTCCCCTGGTGAAATCAGAAGAGACAGTCATCCTGCAATGTTGGTCAGATGTCAGGTTTCAGCACTTCCTTCTGCACAGAGAAGGGAAGTTTAACGACACTTTGCACCTCACTGGAGAGCACCATGATGGGGTTTCCAAGGCCAACTTCTCCATCGGTCCCATGATGGAAGACCTGGCAGGGACCTACAGATGCTACGGTTCTGTTACTCACTCCCCCATCAGTTGTCAGCTCCCAGTGACCCTCTGGACATCGTCATCACAGGTGAGAGTGTCCGGACATTCTTCTCATTGTCATTGGGATGCAGAGTGAATGATCCACGACTTGGAACCCCCAGGTAGTTGTAAGGAAGATGAGCTTGGTATTCTTATGGAGAGAGACTGACTTGGTGAGGTCTGTACCAACAGAGACAGAGAAACAGGAGACACAAGTACAGACCAGGTGTCATAACAGAGGACAGACACAGGGGCCATACCGGGAGTTAGAAAAGACAGAAGGAGTTAAAGGAGACAGACAGACAGACATGTCCCAGAGAGAGGTGTCCCTCCATGCTGACTTTGCTCAGAGACCTGGCACAGGTTAGAAGTTTCATTTCTGTTTTACCTCCACAAAGTGTTCTCTACCAGGAGAACCCAAGGACACCCATATTTCTGACCTGAGTTGGGCCCTGTGGCCTCAGGCCTTGTGGCACCTACAGATGCCGTGTTTATTCTGACACCTCTGCCTTCCATGTAATGGAGAGTAACCGTCCCAGGATATCATGGCCCCAGAACACCAACTCCTGTATGCTGTGTGAACTTGTGGTCTCCAGACTGGATTCTGAGGCTCACATTCCAAATAACCCCACATATGAAAGGATCACTGAGAGGCACAGAGAGAAATCAGGGACACCAAAAAGCAAAGACATAAACACACAGAGAATGAGCCAGAGGAAGGAGATTGAGAGACTCACAGACACATAAAGAGAGAGAAAAGAGGGCAGAGGAGTGGTGAGAATGATGGAAGGGAGCAGAGAAAAGCACTAAAATTAGACTCCTGAGGGAGAGGCACAAGGACATAGAAAGATGGAGATGTGGGGATGAATTGCAGAGATTCCAAAGAGAACTAGAGAGACCGAGAGGCAGAGCAAGACAGATGATAGATGGATAGATATAGATAGATGATAAATAGGTAGATGATAGATAATAGGTTAAAGATACATAGATGATGATTGATTGATTCATTAATAGATGAGACATAGAGATGATGATGATGAAGACAGATAGATAATACATAGAGATAGAGAGGCAGACAGAAGTCATAGAGAGAGAGATGATACATAGATATAGATAACAGATGATTGATGGATAGATAGACAAGTGATAGATACATAGATGATATATAGATATAGATGACAGGTAGAGAATTTGTAGATAGGCACCGAATAGATAAATAGATAGATCGATAGATAATAGATAGAAATATGCAGAAAGTTATGAACAGGACACAAAGTGAGAAACTTAGAATTTAAAAAAGTAACATCAAGTCAACCAATCCAAGGAGAGTCAGAGAGAATAAAACAATCCAAAAAGGGAAAACATATCTAGAGGTGTGGAAGCGAGGTCAGAGACCTAGAGAGACAGAGAAGGTGGAAGGAGGAAATAGACATGAAGAGAGATGGGGTGGAGGGTGAGAGAGAGAGAGAGAGAGAGCATTAGGTCATAGAGCAGGGGAGTGAGTTCTCAGCTCAGGTGAAGGGAGCTGTGACAAGGAAGATCCTCCGTAAGGAAAATGCCTCTTCTCCTTCCAGGTCTATATGAGAAACCTTCTCTCTCAGCCCAGCCGGGCCCCACGGTTCTGGCAGGAGAGAGCGTGACCTTGTCCTGCAGCTCCCGGAGCTCCTATGACATGTACCATCTATCCAGGGAGGGGGAGGCCCATGAACGTAGGTTCTCTGCAGGGCCCAAGGTCAACGGAACATTCCAGGCTGACTTTCCTCTGGGCCCTGCCACCCACGGAGGAACCTACAGATGCTTCGGCTCTTTCCGTGACTCTCCCTACGAGTGGTCAAACTCGAGTGACCCACTGCTTGTTTCTGTCACAGGTGAGGAAAGCCCATGGCTGTCCCATGTCCTATGATCCTAGAGCCTTAGCTGAGGAGCTTCCTGCTGAGGATGGAGAGAAGGATGAACAGATGCAGAGAGAAGACGAAGCTTGGGTGTGAGGGAGGGATCAGGGCACAGGATGGCAGACAGGGCACCTCCAAACCCTCCTACATGGCCTGCATGAAGGCCTGCGGCCAGGACTCCAGGCACCCAGGCAGATGGAGAAAGCGGTCAGGAGAGACCCAGAGGAGGGAGACTGGGCTCAGTTTGGGAAGATCAGAGGTTCCCTCAGCCCCTCAACATTACCCATTTCCCAGAAGCCCATCCTGGCCTCCCACCCACACAGGGATGTCATCACCTGCAACCCCTACACCCTTTACTTTTGTTTGAGAAATATTTATTGAGGATAAATATACCTATATAGCTTACCACCTTTAACATTTTTTTTTTGAGGCGGAGTCTAGCTCTGTCCCCTATGCTGGAGTGCATTGGCACAATCTCAGCTCACTGCAACTTCCGCCTCCTGGGTTCAAGCGATTCTCTTGCCTCAGCCACCTGAGTAGCTGGTGCTACAGGCGCGCACCACCATGCCAGGCTACTTTTTGTATTTTTAGTAGAGAGGGGGTTTCACCATGTTGGTCAAGCTGGTCTCGAACTCCTGACCACGTGATCCACCCGCATCAGCCTCCCAAAGTGCTGGGATTACAGGCATGAGCCACCACGCCCAGCCACATTTACCATTTTTAAGTGTAAAGTCTAGTGGTCATAAATACATTAATATATATATATATACACATATTTTTTTTTACCCTCCACCCTTTTCTTCCTGGCCTCTGGTAGCCACCATTCTACTCTCTACCTTCATGAGATCCACCTTTTAGCTCCTGTATATGGGTAAGAAATGGGAATCTTTGTAATGACCTCCAGTTCCATCCATGTGGCTGCAAATATCAGGATGTTTTTCTTTCTATGGAAGAGTAGTCTCCACTATGCAAATGTACCACATTCTCTCTATCCATTCACCCACTGATGGGCAGGTAGGTTGACTCCTCATCTTGGCTACTGTGAAGAGTGCTGCACCAATCATACGAGTGCAGATATCACTTCGATATATTGATTTACTTTCCTTTGGATATAAACCCAGTAGTGAAATTGCTGGATACTATGAAAGTTCTCTTTTTAGTTTTTCGTTTGTTGTTTTGTTTTTGTTTTTGAGACAGTTTCCCTCTGTGCCCAGGCTGGAGTACAAGTGATGTCATCTTGGCTCATTGCAACCTCTGCCTCCTGGGTTCAAATGATTTTCCTGCCTCAGCCTCCCTAGTATCAGGGATTATAGGCGCACGCCACCATGCCTGGCTACTTTTTGTTTTTTTTAGTATAGATGCGGTTTCCCCATGTTGGCTGGGCTGCTCTCAAACTCATGACCTCAACTGAGGTGCCCGCCTCGGTCTCCCAAAGTGCCGGGATTACAGGCATGATCCACCTCACCCAACCTCTTTTTAGTTCTTTAAAGGACTTCCACACTTTTCTCCGTAATGGCTGTACTAATTTACACTCCTACCAACAGGATACCAGGATTCTCCTTTCTCTAACACCTTGCCAGCATTTCTTTTGCCTGTCTTGCAGCTAAAAGCCATTTTATTTTATTTCATTTTATTTTGAGATGGAGTTTCGCTCTTGTCACCCAGGCTGAGTGCAGTGGTGCGATCTCGGCTCACCACAACCTCCACCTCCCAGGTTCAAGCGATTCTCCTGCCTCAGCCTCCCGAGTAGCTGGAATTACAGGCACACGCCACCACGCCCGACTAATTTTTGTATTTTTAGTAGAGACAGTGTTTCTCCATGTGGGTCAGACTGGTCTCAAACTCCCGACCTTATGAGATTCACCCACCTCAGGCTCTCAAAGTTCTAGGATGACAGACGTGAGCCACCACGCCCGGCCTAAAAGCCATTTTAATGGGGTGAGATGAAAACTCACTTTGATTTTAATTTGTGTTTCTCTGATGATGAGTGATACTGAGCACTTTTTCGTATGTGGGGAAATTTCATGTCTTTTGCTCCTGTTTCAATTAAATCATTTGTTTTATTGAGTTGTTTGAGCTTCTTATATTTCTAGTTATTAATCCCATCTCAGATGCATAGTTTGCACATATTTGCTCCCAATCTGTGGGTTGTCTCTTCACTTTGTTGGTTTATTTTTAGCGGTGCAGAAGTTGCTTAGTTTGAGGTAATCCCAATGGTCTATTTTTGCTTCGATTACTTGTGTTTTGAAGGTTTAAAACAAAATGTCTTCCTTCAGACAAACGTCCTGGAGCATTTCCCCAATATTTTCTTCTACGTGTTTCATAGGTTCAGGCCTTAGACTCACATCTTTAATCCATTTTCATTTGATTTTTGTGTATAGTGACAGGCAGAGGTGCAGTTTCATTCCTCTGCATGTCGATGTCCAGGTTTCCCTGCACTGTTTATTGAAAAGACTGTCCTTTCCTGATTGTGAGTTCTTGGCACCTTTGTCAAAGTCCATTGGATGGGCTGGGCATGGTGGCTGACACCTGCAATTTCAGCACTTTGGGAGCCCGAGGTGGGTGGATCACCTGAGGCCAAGAGTTCAAGATTAGTCTGGCCAACGTGATGAAACATCGTCTCCACTAAAAATATAAAAATTAGCTGAGCATGGTGGTCAGCACCTGTAATACCACTACTCAGGAGTTTGAGGCAAGAGAAGTGATTGAACCCAGGAGGCTGTGGTGGCAGTGAACCGAGATTGCACCTCTGCACTCCAGCCTGGGTGACAGAGCAAGACTCCATCTCAAAAGAAAAACAAAAAATACATTGGAGGTAAATGCATGGATTATATCTGTGTTATTCATTCTGCTCCGTTGTTCTATGTGCCTTTCTTCATGCCAACGTCATGCTGTCTTGCTTACTACAGCTCTGTAACATATTTTGAGATCAGGTAGTGTGATGCTCCTGTTTTCTCTTTATACCTTGAAGTCTCAAGACAGTAGCCGTCACATACAAAAATTACGGAAAAAAGGATCCCAGGACTCCCAGGGCCCAATATTAGATAACAGAGTGTTGGCCATGAACCAACCTCAAAGATTTCCACTGAGTAGAGGACAGACACCCTCATTTCCTCACCTCTCTCCTGTCTCATGTTCTAGGAAACCCTTCAAATAGTTGGCCTTCACCCACTGAACCAAGCTCCAAAACCGGTGAGTACAGAACCCTCTTATATCCGCTTTTGGAAACCTGGGGAGGTGGAAACCTTGGATTCAGGCGTTGACTCAGCATCTCACAGCTCTGACATTGTACGCCTGTCTTCTACCATCTCCAAACTCCAGATACTCCAACAGCGAAAGGGATCTGGACCCAAAACAGGGCTCTGTGAAATCTCTTAATCTCTCATTTTATGGAGCTGAGATCTCCTACAAGCTAGAAAAATGATTGGCAATCTGACATCCTTCTCAGGAAAAATGCAATGTTTGTTCTGCCTGCATTCCTAACTGGAGGATAAATTCCTGGGGGCTTGAGAGAGGGAAGGGTAGGGAACATTTGATGAGGGCGAGGTGTTTTAGAGAAGTTCCACTTGCCCAGGAATGAATTACTGTTGGTCATGAAGCAACCCTGGCTGACTCAGCAGAGCAAGAGCTTTGCCTTAACAGAGAACGGAGCTCATGCACGCACACTTCGACTCACTGACTCATTCAGCCACGGCCCCATGCTCAGGCCGTGGAAAAGGCAATTCCCAGCACTGCAGGAGGCCAAGGCGGGTGGATCACTTGAAGTCAGGAGTTCCAGACCAGCCTGGCCAAAATGGTGAAACCCTGTCTCTATGAAAAATACAAAAATTAGCCGAGCATGGTGGTGCATCCCTGTAATCCCAGCTCCTACTCTTGAGGATGAAGCAGGAGAACGACTTCAACCCAGGAGGTGGAGGTTGCAGTGAGTGGAGATTGCATCACTGCACTCCAGCCTGGGTGACACAAGGAGACTCCGTCTCAAAAAATAAAAATAAGAAATGCATAAATATAATAAAACACACACGAATGACAAAGGCACCTGAATTCCAATCATCATTTTTGTATTTCTCTATAATTACTTCTTTGATCCTTTGTCTTATCCATTAGGCAATGAGCCTAAAACCTCTTCCGTATTTGGCTTTCTGTGAGCATGAGACCATATAGAAAATGTGAAAGCCCGCTGAATCCTCCAGCACAGATCGTGGAATAGAGAAAGTGCTCTGTTCATCACAAAAAAAACTTGCCCTCTCACTCAAATCCCCCACTTCACCCCTACTTCCAATCACCTGTGGAGATTCAGATAGACCATGGGGAGGTAAACATTAATACTCCTTGGAGTGAGTCCAGATCTTGGAATGAGAGATCAGCACCAGCACTAGCTCCTGCTCCCCTTTCCTACTAATTCACAGGAGGACAGGTGGTATTGAAGCAATAGATGGTGGAGGGGGTGGTCCTTCCCCCAGCCTCTCAGGTAGAACAGCAGCCTAACATGTGTCTCCCGAGATCACAAAGAGTAGGACGTTTCACAGGGGCTTCAACACGATTTCCTGGCTGTTGGACATAAGATAACTCTATTTCGCTTTTTTATCTTGATTTCACTTTTGTTTCCTTTCCTTGGAGAACGCAAGTTGTTTGACTCAAGAATGCTGTGGATGTAGAAATCCTAAAGCACATTCGCTGTGTGTCAATCCCAGTGCAGTCTTCCCAGAAAAGACCCTAAACACCTCCTAGACTGCACCTGGGCCTACGCCAATTCCTATCACTCACCGTCACTCCAGGGAGACAGAACACACAGAGAATACGTTACATAGGCAGGTTCATTACTAACAGATAAGCAGCGAGTGAAAACAGAAGCCTACATTTCAATGTGAGCCAGTCCCTCAAGGCTCAGAAAAGCTGCTCGGGACATATGGAGTCACCCCATTTGCAGTGTAGCTGGGGGAAGCCAGAAAGCAGCCCAGCCTGGGTTTTGTACCCTGGAGCCACAGGAAGCACTCAGCTAAAGCACTGCATGACGTCCTCCTCCAGGAAGAACAGGAAGACAGCCCAGGCTGCTCTGGGACGTTCCTCCTGATCTCAGGACGTTGCTGTCTTAGTCCATTTTTGTTGCTCTAAAGGAACACTTGAGCCTGGGCAACTTCTAAAGAAAAGAGATTGGTTTGCCTCACCGTTCTGCAGGCTGTACTGGAAGCATGGCACCAGCATCTATTTCTCGTGATGGCCTCAGGCTGCTCCCACTCTGGCAGAAGGGAAGGAGGGTCTGTCTGTGCAGAGACCACAGAGATCACACGGCAAGAGAGGGAGCAAGGGGGAGGGGGAGCGATGGAGCTTCCAAGTTCTTTTGAACAACCAGCTCTCCAGGAACTAATAGAGGGGGAACTAGCTAACCCCGTCTCCTTGGGACAGCATTGATCTGTTCATGATGGATCCACCTCCATGACCCAAACACCTCTCAAGAGGCCCAACCTCCCACAATGGGGGTGAAATTTCAATGTGAGGTTTGAAGGGGTCAAACATCTCAACTAAAGTAGTTGTGTCCTCAGCACATTCTATGGTTACTTTGAGAGCTATAACTGAGAAAGCAGGAGAAAGCTGGGTCTCCCGCCATCTGGGTGCTTGTCCTAAAGAGGTGTTTTACGTGGTTACCTGTCAATCAAGAAATGCGAGACAATTCATAAAGAGGAACTGCTATGATTAGCTTCTTATTGGTGTCTCATCTTCTTCCAGGTAACCCAAGACACCTGCACGTTCTGATTGGGACCTCAGTGGTCATCATCCTCTTCATCCTCCTCCTCTTCTTTCTCCTTCATCGCTGGTGCTCCAACAAGAAAAGTAAGTCTCACGAAGGAGAGGCCAGAGAGCTCAGGGCCATGTGGGGAAGCAGGATGGGAGCACTCAGGTGTGTGTTCCTCACAGGTAGGATGGTCCCTGGCCCAAGGCAGCAGCCACAGAGGCAGGACTTTCTAGAGAGGGCACCAGACTCCCTGTCCCTGCTTTCAGCTCACAGACCGTTGCCTGATTCTGAACTGTATCCTCATGTCCCCTGCAGCCACTCACATCCAGGAGAAGGTTCCATGACAGGCAGAAAGTGGGAGACAGAATCAATGGGATGGGAACTCAGAGCTATTCATGGGATGGGTCCTTGAGCTCAGAGAGATAGAATGTCTGAGTCTGCTGTTGGCAACTGAGGGACCTCAGGCACCTATGGCCTCCCCCTGTTTGTTGGTATCTGCTTATGAAATGAGGACCCAGAAGTGCCCTCCGAGCTCTTTTGTTGACTTCCGTCTCCTACACATGCTGCTGTAATGGACCAAGAGCCTGCAGGGAACAGAACAGCGAATAGCGAGGTAGGTGCTCCTCGGCCCAGCCTCGTGGCTAGTGTTATTCCCAAACAGTCCTGGAAAACGTGAGCACCCTCCCTCACTCAGGATTTCCCTCTCTCCAGGACTCTGATGAACAAGACCCTCAGGAGGTGACATACGTACAGTTGGATCACTGCGTTTTCACACAGAGAAAAATCACTCGCCCTTCTCAGAGGCCCAAGACACCCCCAACAGATACCAGAGTGTACACGGAACTTCCAAATGCTGAGTCCAGATCCAAAGTTGTCTCCTGCCCATGAGCACCACAGTCAGGCCTTGAGGGGATCTTCTAGGGAGACAACAGCCCTGTCTCAAAACCGGGTTGCCAGCTCCCATGTACCAGCAGCTGGAATCTGAAGGCGTGAGTCTGCATCTTAGGGCATCGCTCTTCCTCACACCACAAATCTGAATGTGCCTCTCTCTTGCTTACAAATGTCTAAGGTCCCCACTGCCTGCTGGAGAAAAAACACACTCCTTTGCTTAGCCCACAATTCTCCATTTCACTTGACCCCTGCCCACCTCTCCAACCTTACTGGCTTACTTCCTAGTCTACTTGAGGCTGCAATCACACTGAGGAACTCACAGTTCCAAACATACAAGAGGCTCCCTCTTAACACGGCACTTAGACACGTCCTGTTCCACCTTCCCTCATGCTGTTCCACCTCCCCTCAGAGTATCTTTCAGCCTTCTGTCAGCAGTAAAACTTATATATTTTTTAAAATAATTTCAATGTAGTTTTCCCTCCTTCAAATAAACATGTCTGCCCTCATGGTTTCGGTAATGGGACTCTTTTCTTGCCTAAGACTTCCATTATCATTACCATGTCCACATAACCCCATCTGTTCTCCACTGGGTTCTCACCCCCGGACTCTGAGTTTCTGGAAGCAGGGTGGAGCCTCATTTGTCTCTGGGACTCCTATTTCCATCCAAAGATGTAGCACATAGGAGGTTCCAAGGATCGTGAATCACATGAACAAGTGATATTCTTACTCTCTGCAGACCTGGAAATCTGGCAGAGTCATTCCAAGATGAAACATTTGTAGAATCATAGGCCTTGTTAGTCTCATCTACACAGGGACACATATCAACACATCATCTTTCACACTATAAATATACAGTCACTCCTCCATATCTGTGGGGTTTACAGTTCTTTATTGAACCGAGTATAAATCAAAAATATTCAGAGAAAGTATCCACAGAGTTACAAAAAGCAGAACTGTGTTGAATGGACACAAATGAAGCTGTGTGTAGGCTGCATCAGGAATTATAAGTAATCTAGAGATGATTTCATGTATACAGGAGGATGTGCATAGGTTATTTGCAAACTCTGTGCCATTTCATATAAGAGGCTTGAGCATCTACAGATTTTGGTATCTGAGTGGAGATCTCGAAACCAATCACCCACGAATAGTGAAGGATGACCGTATATGACTTTTATTTCTCAAATTTAAATATAAATCATAAAAAATGTACAACTAGATAAAAACTAAGAAGTGTTTTTATAGTGTGAGTTAGATTTATTTTTTCCTAGGTATAACCCATTGGTTTAATATTATTTATTGAGAAGACATTCTATGCCACCTTAAACCACACGGCAGCCTTTGTCAACTCTAAAGGGACTGTGTGTACACGGATGTACTTTAGACACTGTTTCTGCTAAGGGGCTCTCTGTGTCCACACTCTTGATGATGCTGCACTTTATGTAGCCTTATAGAACCCTTTAAATTTAGTAGCCAGAGCTCTCTAATTTGTTATTATAGGCTATTTGCTTTTTTTTCTTGAGGCGGAGTCTTGCTCTGTCGCCCAGGCTGGACTGCAGTGACACAATCTCAGCTCACTGCAACTTCTGCCTCCCAGGTTCAAGCGATTCTCATGCCTCAGCCTCTTGAGTAGCTGGCGTTACAGGTGCCTGCCACCAGGCACGGCTAATTTTTGGATTTTTAGCAGAGACACGGTTTCACTATATTGGCCAGGCTGCTCTCAAACTCCTTATCTCAGTTGATCCGCCCACCTCGGCTTCCCAACGTGCTGGGGAAACTTGATTTTCTATAGCATTATGTTACTGGATATTTCTGTAAAATTTAAAATGAGGGAGGGAGAGAGACAGACGGAAAACAAACTCCAGAGTTGGGACTCTGGAATCTTGGGTCATGAGACAAATTTTAGATTAAACTACAAAACTCCAGAATTTACAGGTGGGGTTTTTACTGATAAAGTACAATTCTAAGATTGTAAATAATTGCATAATCCTTCCCTGGGAATTTAAATCATTTTAACTGGTTCTGCTGTAATACTAGAAATACAAGCATGAAAAATTCTAATGGTTTATTAGTGACAATGACTCTGAAAACATTAATAATACCTATTAGATATTTTGCATATTACACAGGAAGAAGAGTTTGAATCTCAGATAAAAACAATAGAAATACATGAAAAGTCTTTCATGTTAGCACAGATTTTAGGCATCTCGTGTTCGGGAGGTTGGATCTCAGACGTGTTTTGAGTTGGTCATAGTGAAGGACACTAGGTGTCAAATTCTAGCGAGAACAATTTCCAGGAAGCCGTGTTCCGCTCTTGAGCGAGCACCCACTGGGCCTCATGCAAGGTAGAAAGAGCCTGCGTACGTCACCCTCCCATGATGTGGTCAACATGTAAACTGCATGGGCAGGGCGCCAAATAACATCCTGTGCGCTGCTGAGCTGAGCTCGGTCGCGGCTGCCTGTCTGCTCCGGCAGCACCATGTCGCTCTTGGTCGTCAGCATGGCGTGTGTTGGTGAGTCCTGGAAAGCAATAGAGGGAGGGAGTGAGGGGATGGAGATCTGGGCCCAGAGGTGGAGATATAGGCCTGGAGGTGGAGTTATGGGCCTGGAGTGGAGATCTGGGCCTGGAGTGGATATATGGGCCTAGAGATGGAGTGATGGGCCTAGAAGTGGAGATCTGGGCCCAGAGGTCGAGATATAGGCCTGGAGGTGGAGTGATGGGACTGTAGTGGAGATCTGGGCCTGGAGTGGAGATAGGAACCTGGAGGGGAGATAGGAACCTGGAGGGGAGATATGGGCCTGGAGGTGGAGATATGGGCCTGGAGTGGAGTCATGGGCCTGGAGGTGGAGTTATGGGCCTGCAGTAGAGATATGGGCCTGAAGTGGAGACATGGGCCTGGAGTGGAGATATGGGCCAGGAGTGGAGATATGGGCCTAGAGGTCGATATCTGGGCCTGGAGTGGAGATATGGGCCAGGAGTGGAGATATGGGCCTAGAGGTCGATATCTGGGCCTGGAGAGGAGATATGTGCCTAGGATGGAGATACGGGCCTGGGTGTGGAGATATGGGACTGGAGAGGATATATGGGCCTGGAGTGGAGATATGGGACTGGAGAGGAGATATGGACCTGGAGTGGAGATAAGGGCCTGGATTGGAGATATGGGCCCAGGGTGGAGATCTGAGCCTGGATTGGAGATATGGGCCTGGATTGGCGATATGGGCTTAGGGTGGAAATATCGGCCTGGAGTGGAGATATGGGCCTGGAGTGGAGATATGGGCTTGAGGTGGGGATATGGACCTGGAGGCTGGGTCTCTGCACAGCCGACAGCCCTGTTCTTGGGTGCAGGTAGGCACTGAGGGTGAGTTTACCTTCAGCCCAGGAAGGGCCTGGCTACCAAGACTCACAGCCCAGTGGGGGCAGCAAGGGTGCCCTGGTTTGCCTGCAGATGGGTCATCCATCATGATCTTTCTTTCCAGGGTTCTTCTTGCTGCAGGGGGCCTGGCCACATGAGGGTGAGTCCTTCTCCCAACCTTCGGGTGTCATCTCCCCACATAAGAGGATTTTCCTGAAATGGGAGGGAAGTCCTGTCAGGGAGTCTCTCATAAACTAGGAAGAAGGGACCCTGGGGTGCTGGGCCCACATTTCTGACCTTGCCTCCCTGGCCTTTCATTCCCTTGGCAGAGTCAAGTTCTGTGGGGACCAGGGTTAGACTACGGTGCTCAAAGCTGGGGTGTGTGGTGGGGAAGTGGTAGGAACAGCAGATCCTCTGAGGACAAAGGTGTTACTCACACACTTCAGCGTTTCCATGACGGTAGGGGCTGCAGTGTGGCTGCTGTCATTCTACCAGAAGAGGTGGGAAAACCACAGCCATGGCCCTGACATTCCAATCCTCTGATGGGGACTCAGTTGTTTATTTTCGTTCAGGCATCGGCTGATATTCCATTCTCAAAGGACATGCCCTCCACCCCATGTCTACCCTGTGTTGTTTTATGTGAGTAATCTTACAGTATTAAAATCTAGTAGGAGTCTCTTACTCAGCACTTGCTCAAAGTTCTCAGCTGACACTTTTGTTGTAGGGAGACACCTTGTGTTTGCGGGATGGGTCCTTCCTTTAGCCCTGGGCACCAAGGTGTGATAGCAGCCATAGAAACTTGGAAAGCGAGGAGAATCTTCAGAGCACAGGGAGGGAGGGGCGGCTCCACATCCTCCTCTCTAAGGCGGTGCCTCCTTCTCCCCACGGTGGTCAGGACAAGCCCTTGCTGTCTGCCTGGCCAAGCCCTGTGGTGCCTCCAGGACATGTGATTCTTCAGTGTCATTCTTATCTTGGGTTTAACAACTTCAGTCTGTAAAAGGAAGATGGGGTGCCTGTCCCTGAGCTCTACAACATAATATTCTGGAACAGCCTTTTCATGGGCCCTGTGACCCCAGCACACGCAGGGACCTATACATGTCGGGGTTCACAACCACACTACCCCAGTGGGTGGTCGGCACCCAGCAACCCCCTGGAGATCACGGTCACAGGTCAGAGGGCTCCTGTCTGGGATTCTCCTTGTCCCACCTCCTGAATCCCAGAGCTCCTGGTGGGCGTGTCCTTGCGGGTCCCATCATGCAAGTCCTGACTGTATTTGGGGTAAAGGGGGATTGAATACAGGGAAATGGGTGCTGTGGTGGGAAGAATAATTGTCCCCAGTGATGACTACATTCTAATCCCTGGAGTCTGTGACTATTTATGATATAGGGGAAGGGACTGAAGGAGAAGATGGAGCTCAGGTTGTTGATGAGTTGACCTTGAGATGGGGAGACAGCCTGGACTGTCCTGATGGGCTCAGTGTAGTCACAGGGGTCCACATGAAAGGAGGAGGAAGAGGGGAGTGGGGATTACAGCAGCATAATGGGAGTCTCCATCAGCTTTGAAGGTGGAGGAAGTCCAGGAGCCATGAATGCAGGTGGCCTATAGAGGCTGGAAAAGTCAAGGAACTGATTCTCCTGAGTCTCCAGAGGGAACGAAGCCCTGCAGGTGCCTTGATTTTACCCACGACAAACAGGGTCCGATTTCTGTCTCCAGAATTGGAAGGGGTTAGTGTGCTCTCTCCTGGTGCCATGCTTCTGATAATTTTCTACAGCAGCAACAGGAAACCAACACTGGAACCCAGGTCAAGGACAAGTTAAGAAACAACACAAGGATAGCCAGGCATGGTGGCAGGTGCATGTAATCCTAGCGACTTGGGAGGCTGAGGGCAGGAGAATCACTTGAACCCAGGAGACAGAGGTTGCAGTGAGCCTAGACCACACCACTTCACTCCAGCCTGGGCAAAGGAGTGAGACTCTGTCGCCAAAATTAATTAATTAATTAAAGAAACCAAACAAGGAGAAGGTTGGCTACACTGAGATCAGCAAGGCTCAGATGATGATGCCA
Source organism: Homo sapiens (assembly GCF_000001405.40). Classification (NCBI taxonomy): domain Eukaryota; kingdom Metazoa; phylum Chordata; class Mammalia; order Primates; family Hominidae; genus Homo; species Homo sapiens. The sequence continues at coordinate 51,702 of NT_187671.1, forward strand.
CCACCAGGCTCCATCCACATAGGGAGGGGTTGATACTCCTCCAACCAGCACCAGGAGCCAGCCTATGGAAGCTGGCACTGGCATGGCAAGAGTGGCTCCCAGTCCCTACCAGGAACAGGGTGTGTGGCCACTGGTGCCTGCCTTACTGATCAGTTCATACCTCCTGCCAAGGATTCCAATTCGTCCAAAAGAGATTGAACCAGGCTGCTAAGAGCCTGGATGTGCAGCCTATCCTGGTTCCTCTTCCACCCCCACATAGACAGCAGGAAAGACATTAGTTCGAAATAGATACAACAGCCCAAGAGATGAGGCTGAGCCCAGCAGCAAGGGAATCAGAGGCTACTAGAGACAGAGGGACAGAGAAGAGTGAGGGAGACAGATGGAAGGACCTGCACCAGGAGTTATGGGCACAGAAAAGAACATGAAGACACAGAGAGGAAGGAGAGAGATAAGACACCAGGAAGGGGAAGCCTGACTCAATCCAGGTGCCATGGATGGGATGATAAAGAGAGACACCTTCTAAACTCACAACCTCTCTTCCTAGGAGTCCACAGAAAACCTTCCCTCCTGGCCCACCCAGGTCGCCTGGTGAAATCAGAAGAGACAGTCATCCTGCAGTGTTGGTCAGATGTCATGTTTGAACACTTCCTTCTGCACAGAGAGGGGATGTTTAACGACACTTTGCGCCTCATTGGAGAACACCATGATGGGGTCTCCAAGGCCAACTTCTCCATCAGTCGCATGACGCAAGACCTGGCAGGGACCTACAGATGCTACGGTTCTGTTACTCACTCCCCCTATCAGGTGTCAGCTCCCAGTGACCCTCTGGACATCGTGATCATAGGTGAGAGTGTCCAGACTTTCTTCTCATTGTCATTGGGATGCAGAGTGAATGATCCAGGAATTGGAGACCCAGGTGGCTGTAAGGAAGATGAGCTTGGTATTCTTATGGAGAGAGACTGACTTGGTGAGGTCTGTGCCAACAGAGACAGAGAAACAGGAGACACAAGTAGAGACCAGGTGTCATAACAGAGAACAGACACAGGGGCCATACCGGGAGTTAGAAAAGACAGAAAGAGTTAAAGGAGACACACAGACAGACATGTCCCAGAGAGAGGTGTCCCTCCATGCTGACTTTGCTCAGAGACCTGGCACAGGTTAGAAGTTTCATTTCTGTTTTACCTCCACAAAGTGTTCTCTACCAGGAGAACCCAAGGACACCCATATTTCTGACCTGAGTTGGGCCCTGTGGCCTCAGGCCTTGTGGCACCTACAGATGCCATGTTTATTCTGACACCTCTGCCTTCCATGTAATGGAGAGTAATCGTCCCAGGATATCATGGCCCCACAACACCAACCCCTGTATGCTGTGTGAACTTGTAGTCTCCAGACTGGATTCTGAGGCTCATATTCCAAATAAGCCCACTTATGAGAGGATCAGTGAGAGGCACAGAGAGAAATCAGGGACACCAAAAAGCAAAGACATAAACACACAGAGAATGAGCCAGAGGAAGGAGATTGAGAGACTCACAGACACATAAAGAGAGAGAAAAGAGGGCAGAGGAGTGGTGAGAATGATGGAAGGGAGCAGAGAAAAGCACTAAAATTAGACTCCTGAGGGAGAGGCACAAGGACATTGAAAGATGGAGATGTGGGGATGAATTGCAGAGATTCCAAAGAGAACTAGAGAGACCGAGAGGCAGAGCAAGACAGATGATAGATGGATAGATATAGATAGATGATAAATAGGTAGATGATAGATAATAGGTTATAGATACATAGATGATGATTGATTGATTCATTAATAGATGAGACATAGAGATGATGATGATGAAGACAGATAGATAGATAATACATAGAGATACAGAGGCAGACATAGAGAAATCATAGAGAGAGAGAGATGATACATAGATATAGATAATAGATGATTGATGGATAGATAGACAATTGATGGATAAATAGATGATATATAGATATAGATGACAGGTAGAGAATTTGTAGATAGGCACCGAATAGATAAATAGATAGATCGATAGATAATAGATAGAAATATGCAGAAAGTTATGAACAGGACACAAAGTGAGAAACTCAGAATTAAAAAAAGTAACATCAAGTCAACCAATCCAAGGAGAGTCAGAGAGAATAAAACAATCCAAAAAGAGAAAACATATCTAGAGGTGGGGAAGTGAGGTCAGAGACCTAGAGAGACAGAGAAGGTGGAAGGAGGAAATAGACATGAAGAGCGATGGGGTAGAGGGTGAGAGAGAGAGAGAGAGAGCATTAGGTCATAGAACAGGGGAGTGAGTTCTCAGCTCAGGTGAAGGGAGCTGTGACAAAGAAGATCCTCCCTGAGGAAACTGCCTCTTCTCCTTCCAGGTCTATATGAGAAACCTTCTCTCTCAGCCCAGCTGGGCCCCACGGTTCTGGCAGGAGAGAATGTGACCTTGTCCTGCAGCTCCCGGAGCTCCTATGACATGTACCATCTATCCAGGGAAGGGGAGGCCCATGAACGTAGGCTCCCTGCAGGGCCCAAGGTCAACGGAACATTCCAGGCTGACTTTCCTCTGGGCCCTGCCACCCACGGAGGGACCTACAGATGCTTCGGCTCTTTCCATGACTCTCCATACGAGTGGTCAAAGTCAAGTGACCCACTGCTTGTTTCTGTCACAGGTGAGGAAAGCCCATGGCTGTCCCATGTCCTATGATCCTAGAGCCTTAGCTGAGGAGCTTCCTGCTGAGGATGGAGAGAAGCATGGACAGATGCAGAGAGAAGACGCAGCCTCGGTGTGAGGGAGGGATCAGGGCACAGGATGGCCGACAGGGCACCTCCAAACCCTCCTACATGGCCTGCATGGAGGCCCACGGCCAGGGCTCCAGGCACCCAGGCAGATGGAGAAAGCGGTCAGGAGAGACCCAGAGGAGGGAGACTGGGCTCAGTTTGGGGAGATCAGAGGTTCCCTCAGCCCCTCAACCTTACCCATTTCCCAGAAGCCCATCCTGGCCTCTCACCCACACAGAGATGTCATCACCAGCAACCCCTACACCCTTTACTTTTCTTTGAAGAAATATTTATTGAGGATAAATATACCTATATAGCTTACCACTTTTAACATTTTTTTTTGAGGTGGAGTCTAGCTCTGTCCCCTATGATGGAGTGCAGTGGCACAATCTCAGCTCACTGCAACCTCCGCCTCCTGGGTTCAAGCGATTCTCCTGCCTCAGCCACCTGAGTAGCTAGTGCTACAGGCACGCACCACCACGCCAGGCTACTTTTTGTATTTTTAGTAGAGAGGTGGTTTCACCATGTTGGTCGAGCTGGTCTCGAACTCCTGACCACGTGATCCACCCGCATCAGCCTCCCAAAGTGCTGGGATTACAGGCATGGGCCACCAGGCCCAGCCACATTTACCATTTTTAAGTGTAAAGTCTAGTGGTCATAAATACATTTTTATATATATATATATATACATTTTTTTTACCCTCCACCCTTTTCTTCCTGTCCTCCAGTAGCCACCATTCTACTCTCTACCTTCATGAGATCCACCTTTTAGCTCCTGTATATGGGTGAGAAATGGGAATCTTTTTAATGACCTCCAGTTCCATCCATGTGGCTGCAAATGACAGGATGTTATTCTTTCTATGGATGAGTAGTCTCCACTGTGCGTATGTACTACATTCTCTCTATCCATTCACCCACTGATGGGCAGGTAGGTTGACTCCTCATCTTGGCTACTGTGAACAGTGCTGCACCAATCATACGAGTGCAGATATCACTTCGATATGTTGATTTACTTTCCTTTGGATATAAACCCAGTAGTGAAATTGCTGGATACTATGAAAGTTCTCTTTTTTTTTTTTTTTCTTTTTTGAGAAAGAGTTTCCCTCCTTAGCCCAAGCTGGAGTCAAAGTGGTGCAACCTTGGCTCATTGCAACCTCCGCCTCCTGGGTTCAAATGATTTTCCTGCCTCAGCCTCCCTAGTAGCTGGGATTACAGGTGCACACCACCATGCCTGGCTACTTTTTGGTTTTTTTAGTATAGATGCGGTTTCCCCATGTTGGCTGGGCTGCTCTCAAACTCATGACCTCAACTGAGGTGCCCGCCTCAGTCTCCCAAAGTGCCGGGATTACAGGCATGATCCACCTCACCCAACCTCTTTTTAGTTCTTTAAAGGACTTCCATACTTTTCTCCGTAATGGCTGTACTAATTTACACTCCTCCCAACAGGGTACCAGGGTTCTCCTTTCTCTACCACCTTGCCAGCATTTCTTTTGCCTGTCTTGCAGCTAAAAGCCATTTTATTTTATTTCATTTTATTTTGAGATGGAGTTTTGCTCTTCTCACCCAGGCTGGAGTGCAGTGGCGCTATCTCGGCTCACCACAACCTCCACCTCCCAGGTTCAAGCGATTCTCCTGCCTCAGCCTCCCGAGTAGCTGGAATTACAGGCACACGCCACCACGCCCTACTAATTTTTGTATTTTTAGTAGAGACAGCGTTTCTCTATGTGGGTCAGACTGGTCTCAAACTCCCAACCTTATGAGATTCACCCACCTCAGGTTCTCAAAGTTCTAGGATGACACAAGTGAGCCACCTCACCCGGCCTAAAAGCCATTTTAATGGGGTGAGATGAAAACTCACTTTGATTTTAATTTGCGTTTCTCTGATGATGAGTGATACTGAGCACTTTTTCGTATGTGGGGAAATTTCATGTCTTTTGCTCCTTTTTCAATTAAATCATTTGTTTTATTGAGTTGTTTGAGCTTCTTATATTTCTAGTTATTAATCCCATCTCAGATGCATAGTTTGCACATATTTGCTCCCAATCTGTGGGTTGTCTCTTCACTTTGTTGGTTTATTTTTAGCAGTGCTGAAGTTGCTTAGTTTGAGGTAATCCCAATGGTCTATTTTTGCTTCGATTACTTGTGTTTTGAAGGTTTAAAACAAAATGTCTTCCTTCAGACAAACGTCCTGGAGCATTTCCCCAATATTTTGTTCTACGTGTTTCATAGGTTCAGGCCTTAGACTCACATCTTTAATCCATTTTCATTTGATTTTTGTGTATGGTGACAGGTAGAGTTGCAGTTTCATTCCTCTGCATGTAGATGTCCAGGTTTCCCTGCACTGTTTATTGAAAAGACTGTCCTTTCCTGATTGTGAGTTCTTGGCATCTTTGTCAAAGTCCATTGGATGGGCTGGGCTTGGTGGCTAACACCTGCAATTTCAGCACTTTGGGAGCCCGAGGTGGGTGGATCACCTGAGGCCAGGAGTTCAAGATTAGTCTGGCCAACGTGATGAAACATCGTCTCCACTAAAAATATAAAAATTAGCTGAGCATGGTGGTCAGCACCTGTAATACCACTACTCAGGAATTTGAGGCAAGAGAATGATTGAACCCAGGAGGCTGAGGTTGCAGTGAACCGAGATTGCACCTCTGCACTCCAGCCTGAGTGACAGAGCAAGACTCCATCTCAAAAGAAAAAATAAAAAACCATTGGATGTAAATGCATGGAATATATCTGTGTTATTCATTCTGCTCCGTTGTTCTATGTGCCTTTCTTTATGCCAATGTCATGCTATTTTGCTTACTACAGCTCTGTAACATATTTTGAGATCAGGTAGTGTGATGCTCCTGTTTTCTCTTTATATCTTGAAGTCTCAAGACAGTGGGTGTCATATAAAAAAATTATGGAAAAAAGGATCCCAGGACTCCCAGGGCTCAATATTAGATAAGAGAGTGTTGGCCATGAACCATCCTCAAAGATTTCCACTGAGTAGAGGACAGACACCCTCATTTCCTCACCTCTCTCCTGTCTCATGTTCTAGGAAACCCTTCAAATAGTTGGCCTTCACCCACTGAACCAAGCTCCAAAACCGGTGAGTACAGAACCCTCTTATATCCGCTTTTGGAACCCTGGGGAGGTGGGAACCTTGGATTCAGGCGTTGACTCAGCATCTCACAGCTCTGACATTGTACACTTGTCTTCCACCATCTCCGAACTCCAGATACTCCTACAGCGAAAGGGATCTGGGCCCAACACAGGGCTCAGTGAAATCTCTTCATCTCTCATTTTATGGAGCTGAGACCTCCTACAAGCTAGAAGAATGATTGCCAATCTGACATCCTTCTCAGGAAAAATGCAATGTTTGTTCTACCTGCATTCCTAACTGGAGGATAAATTCCTGGAGACTTGAGAGAGGGAAGGGAAGGGAACATCTGATGAGGGCAAGGTGTTTTAGAGAAGTTCCACTTGCCAAGGAATGAGCTCCTGTAGGTCATGAAGCAACCCTGGCTGACTCCGCAGAGAAAGAGCCTTGCCGTAACAGAGAACAGAGCTCATGCACGCACACTTCGACTCACTGACTCATTCAGCCACGGCCCCATGCTCAGGCTGTGCAGTGTGGAACCTTTTCCTATTGTTGCCATAACAAATTTCCACAAGATTCGTGGGTGAAAACAAAACGGTTTTTTAATTATCTTACAGTGCTGTAGCTCAAAGTAGGAAGTGCATCTTACTGGGCTAAAATCAAGGTGACAGCAAGGCTGCCTTCCCTCTGAGGATTCCAGGCACGAATCTGCTTCTCACTTGTCCCAGCTTCTAAAGGCTCCCAGTTCCTTGGCTCCTGGTCCCCTTCCTCCTTCCTCAAAGCCCACAAAGACTGGTCACATCTCACATGGCATCACTCAGTGCCTTCTTCCTTACCACACCTCTTTCTCTGAGTGCTGCTCTCCCTTCTTCCTCATCTTTTGAAAACTTGGGGATTCTATTGGGTTCACCAAGATGAAAATCCCTCATAATCTCCTGGAAATCATCCAGGATACCCTTGTTTTAAGTTCAGCTGATTAGCAACCATAATTCCATCTGCAATCTTCATTCCTCCTTTCCATGTAAAATAACATATTCACAAGCTATGGAGGCTAGGACAGGGACATTTTGGGGTGGGACAGCATTCTCCTGCCTTCCACAAACAGTGAACAAGATGCATTTGGCCTCTGCCCTTGGGACACTGATATTGCAGATGGTTAAATGGGAGGGCAGAAAATGAACGCACAAGTGGATCTATAAATGAATGGTCCATTGGGAAGCATCTGTGCATGAAATCTATTTTTTGTTTGTTCTTTTGTTTATTGAGACAGAGTCGCCCTCTGTCTTCCAGGCTACAGTGCAGTGTCACGATCTTGGCTCACTGCAACCTGCGTCTCCTGGATTCAAGTGATTCTCCTGCCTCCGCCTCTCGAGTAGCTGGGATTACAGGCAACTGCCACCGTGCCCGGCTAATTCTTTTTGTATATTTTTTGTAGAGAGGATGTTTCACCACGTTGGCCAAGCTTGTCTGAAACTCCCAACCTCAAGTGATCCGACCGTCTCAGCATGCCAAAGTAATGGGACTACAGGCGTGAGCCACTGTGCCCAGCCAGAATTCAAAATCAATAATAGATAATGCTGAGTGTATGATTTCAGGTGACAAAGAAGGTCTCACTATTCAGATATTTGTGACATTAATGAAAAACACGGAATGAACCCCTGAAAGATTGGCGGAAGGATTTTGCACACACAGCTGTCAGCCATGAAGGCACAAAGGTGAAAACAATCTGATGTGGAAGGAAGAGGCTCTGACTCAAATGCTGGGAATGAGGTGGGGAGAATGACAAGACGACTGTAGAGAGACGGAGAGCACACTGGGTACACAGGAAACTAAGGAGCAACAAGGAGTGTGTGTTTGACACTCACAGCCATTGGATTCACCTCGGGGTAACCAGGAATCCCTACATGATTAATATGACTGACATGAAAATAAGGGAGGCCCAGGTGCATAACTGGAATCTAGGAGACCGTGGAAAAGGCAATTGCCGCCCCACTGGTGAAATGTGGTGCTGATTTAGACACTAAATGAATGAAGTAGATGGATATAAGATATGTTTGTGAGGTAGAATCATTGACTGGAAAGGCTTACTGGGTTTGATTTTCCTACTTGTTTAATCCTCGCTTAATTAATTTCTTTCTGAGATTTATTCATCCTACACATAAATCAATACCTGGCAAAGGAGTGACAGATATATGAGTGGTGGTGGAAATGAAGAGACTTATTATAGCATAATATACAAGTCTGTGAACAGTGGCTCACGCCTGTAACCTAGCACTGCAGGAGGCCAAGGTGGGTGGATTCCATGAAGTCAGGAGTTCCAGACCAGCCTGGCCAACGTGGTGAAACCCTATCTCTACTAAAAATACAAAAATTAGCCGAGCACGATGGTGCATCCCTGTAATCCCAGCTCCTATTCTGGAGGATGAAGCAGGAGAATGACTTCAACCCAGTAGGTGGAGGTTGCAGTGAGTGGAGATTGCATCACTGCACTCCAGCCTGGGGGACACAAGGAGACTCTATCTCAAAAAATAAAAATAAGAAATACATAAATATAATAAAACACACACGAATGACAAAGGCACCTGAATTCCAATCATCGTTTTTCTATTTCTCTATAATTACTTCTTTGATCCTTTATCTTATCCATTAGGCAATGAGCCTAAAACCTCTTCCCTATTTGGCTTTCTGTGAGCATGAGATCATATAGAAAATGTGAAAGCCCGCTGAATCCTCCAGCACAGATCCTGGAATAGAGAAAGTGCTCTGGTCATCACAAAAAAAACTTGCCCACTCACCCAAATCCCCCACCTCACCCCTACTTCCAATCACCTGTGGAGATTCAGATAGACCATGGGGAGGTAAACATTAACACTCCTTGGAGTGAGTCCAGATCTTGGAATCAGAGATCAGCGACAGCACTAGCTCCTGCTCCCCTTTCCTACTAATTCACAGGAGGACAGGTGGTTTTGAAGCAATAGATGGCCGAGGGGGTGGTCCTTCCCCCAGCCTCTCGGGTAGAACAGCAGCCTAATATGTGTCTCCCGAGATCACAAAGAGCAGCAGGTTTCACACGGGCTTCAACACTATTTCCTGGCCGTTTGACATAAGAGAATTCTATTTCGCTTTTTTTATCTTGATTTCACTTTTGTTTTCTTTCCTTGGAGAATGCAAGTTGTTTGATTCAAGAATGCTGTGGATGTAGAAACCCTAAAGCACATTCGCTGTGAATCAATCCCAGTCCAGTCTTCCCAGAGAAGACTCTAAACACCTCCTGGACTGCACCTGGGCCTATGCCAATTCCTATCACTCACCGTCACTCCAGGGAGACAGAACACACAGAGAATACGTTACATAGGCAGGTTCATTACTAACAGATAAGCAGCGAGTGACAACAGAAACCTATATTTCAATGTGACCCAGTCCCTCAAGGCTCAGAAAAGCTCCTCGGGACATATGGAGTCACCCCATTTGCAGTGTAGCTGCGGGAAGCCAGAAAGCAGCCCAGCCTGGGTTTTGTACCCTGGAGCCACAGGAAGCACTCAGCTAAAGCACTGCATGACGTCCTCCAGGAAGAACAGGAAGACAGCCCAGGGTGTTCTGAGACGTTCCTCCTGATCTCAGGAAGTTGCTGTCTTAGGCCATTTTTGTTGCTCTAAAGGAACACTTGAGCCTCGGTAACTTCTAAAGAAAAGAGATTGGTTTGCCTCACCGTTCTGCAGGCTGTACTGGAAGCATGGCACCAGCATCTATTTCTCGTGACGGCCTCAGGCTGCTCCCACTCTGGCAGAAGGGAAGGAGGGTCTGTCTGTGCAGAGACCACAGAGATCACACGGCAAGAGAGGGAGCAAGGGGGAGGGGGAGTGATGGAGCTTCCAAGCTCTTTTTAACAACCAGCTCTCCGGGAACTAATAGAGGGGGAACTTGCTAACCCCGTCTCCTTGGGACAGCATTGATGTGTTCATGATGGATCCACCTCCATGACCCAAACACCTCTCAAGAGGCCCAACCTCCCACAGTGGGGGTGAAATTTCAATGTGAGGTTTGAAGGGGTCAAACATCTCAACTAAAGTAGTCGTATCCTCAGCACGTTCTATGGTTACTATGAGAGCTATAACTGAAAAAGCAGGAGAAAGCTGGGTCTCCTGCCATCTGGGTGCTTGTCCTAAAGAGGTGTTTTATGTGGTTACCTGTCAATCAAGAAATGCGAGACAATTCATAAAGAGGAACTGCTAAGATTAGCTTCTTATTGGTGTCTCATCTTCTTCCAGGTAACCCCCGACACCTGCACATTCTGATTGGGACCTCAGTGGTCATCATCCTCTTCATCCTCCTCTTCTTTCTCCTTCATCGCTGGTGCTCCAACAAAAAAAGTAAGTCTCACGAAGCAGAGGCCAGAGAGCTCAGGGCCATGTGGGGAAGCAGGATGGGAGCACTCAGGTGTGTGTTCCTCACAAACAGGATGGTCCCTGGCCCAAGGCAGCAGCCACAGAGGCAGGACTTTCTAGAGAGGGCACCAGACTCCCTGTCCCTGCCTTCAACTCACAGACCGTTGCCTGATTCTGAACTGTATCCCCATGTCCCCTGCAGCCACTCACATCCAGGAGAAGGTTCCATGACAGGCAGAAAGTGGGAGACAGAATCAATGGGATGGGAACTCAGAGCTATTCATGGGATGGGTCCTTGAGCTCAGAGAGATAGAATGTCTGAGTCTGCTGTTGGCAACTGAGGGACCTCAGCCACCTATGGTCTCCCCCTGTATGTTGGTATCTGCTTATGAAATGAGGACCCAGAAGTGCCCTCCGAGCTGTTTTGTTGACTTCCATCTTCTACAGATGCTGCGGTAATGGACCAAGAGTCTGCAGGAAACAGAACAGCGAATAGCGAGGTAGGTACTCCTCGGCCCGGGCTCGTGGCTACTGTTATTCCCAAAGAGTCCTGGAAAATGTGAGCACCCTCCCTCACTCAGCATTTCCCTCTCTCCAGGACTCTGATGAACAAGACCCTCAGGAGGTGACATACACACAGTTGAATCACTGCGTTTTCACACAGAGAAAAATCACTCGCCCTTCTCAGAGGCCCAAGACACCCCCAACAGATATCATCGTGTACACGGAACTTCCAAATGCTGAGTCCAGATCCAAAGTTGTCTCCTGCCCATGAGCACCACAGTCAGGCCTTGAGGGCGTCTTCTAGGGAGACAACAGCCCTGTCTCAAAACCGGGTTGCCAGCTCCCATGTACCAGCAGCTGGAATCTGAAGGCGTGAGTCTGCATCTTAGGGCATCGATCTTCCTCACACCACAAATCTGAATGTGCCTCTCACTTGCTTACAAATGTCTAAGGTCCCCACTGCCTGCTGGAGAAAAAACACACTCCTTTGCTTAACCCACAGTTCTCCATTTCACTTGACCCCTGCCCACCTCTCCAACCTAACTGGCTTACTTCCTAGTCTACTTGAGGCTGCAATCACACTGAGGAACTCACAATTCCAAACATACAAGAGGCTCCCTCTTAACGCAGCACTTAGACACGTGTTGTTCCACCTTCCCTCATGCTGTTCCACCTCCCCTCAGACTAGCTTTCAGTCTTCTGTCAGCAGTAAAACTTATATATTTTTTAAAATAACTTCAATGTAGTTTTCCATCCTTCAAATAAACATGTCTGCCCCCATGGTTTCGGTAATGGGACTCTTTTCTTGCCTAAGGCTTCCGGTGTTATCAGTACCATGTCCATATAATCCCATCTGTTCCCCACTGAGTTCTCATCCCCGGACTCTGAGTTTCTGGAAGCAGGGTGGAGCCTCATTTGTCTCTGGGACTCCAATTTCCATCCAAAGATGTAGCACATAGGAGGTTCCAAGGATCACGAATCATATGAACAAGTGATACTCTTACTCTCTGCAGACCTGGAAAGCTGGCAGAGTCATTCCACAATGAAACATTTGTAGAATCATAGGCCTTGTTAGTCTCATCTCCATGGGGACACATATCAACACATCATCTTTCATAATATAAATATACGGTCACTCCTCCATATCTGCGGGGTTTACAGGTGTTTATTGAACCAAGTATAAATCAAAAATATTGAGAGAAAGTATCCACAGAGTTTCAAAAAGCATAACTATGTTGAATGGACACAAATGAAGCTGTGTGTAGGCTGTATCAGGAATTATAAGTAATCTAGAGATGATTTCATGTATACAGGAGGATGTGCATAGGTTATTTGCAAACGCTGTGCCATTTCATATAAGAGGCTTGAGCATCTACAGATTTTGGTATCTGAGTGGAGATCTCAAAACCAATCACCCACGAATAGTGAAGGATGACCGTATATGACTTTTATTTCTCAAATTTAAATATAAATCATAAAAAATGTACAACTAGATAAAAACTAAGAAGTGTTTTTATAGTGTGAGTTAGATTTATTTTTTCCTAGGTGTAACCAATTGGTTTAATATTATTTATTGAGAAGACATTCTATGCCACCTTAAACCACACGGCAGCCTTTGTCAACTCTAAAGGGACTGTGTGTACATGGATGTATTTTAGACACTGTTTCTGCTAAGGGGCTCTCTGTGTCCACACTCTTGATGATGCTGCACTTTATGTAGCCTTATAGAACCCTTTAAATTTAGTAGCCAGAGCCCTCTAATTTGTTATTATAGGCTGTTTGCTTTTTTTTTCTTGAGGCGGAGTCTTGCTCTGTCGCCCAGGCTGGACTGCAGTGGCACAATCTCAGCTCACTGCAACCTCCGCCTCCCAGGTTCAAGCGATTCTCGTGCCTCAGCCTCTTGAGTAGCTGGCGTTACAGGTGCCTGCCACCAGGCACGGCTAATTTTTGGATTTTTAACAGAGACACGGTTTCACTATATTGGCCAGGCTGCTCTCAAACTCCTTATCTCAGTTGATCCGCCCACCTCGGCTTCCCAACGTGCTGGGGAAAACTTGATTTTCTATAGCATTATGTTACTGGATATTTCTGTAAAATTTAAAACGAGGGAGGGAGAGAGACAGACAGAGAGCAAACTCCAGAGTTGGGACTCTGGAATCTTGGGTCATGAGACAAATTTTAGATTAAACTACAAAACTCCAGAATTTACAGGTGTGGTTTTTGCTGATAAAGTACAATTCTAAGATTGTAAATAATTGCATAATCCTTCCCTGGGAATTTAAATCATTTTAGCTGGTTCTGCTGTAATACTAGAAATACAAGCATGAAAAATTCTAATGGTTTATTAGTCACAATGACTCCGAAAACATTAATAATACCTATTAGATACTTTGCATATTACACAGGAAGAAGAGTTTGAATCTCAGATAAAAACAAAAAAAATACATGAAAAGTCTTTCATGTTAGCACAGATTTTAGGCATCTCGTGTTCGGATAAAAATACATGAAAAGTCTTTCACGTTAGCACAGATTTTAGGCATCTTGTGTTCGGGAGGTTGGATCTGAGACGTGTTGTGAGTTGGTCATAGTGAAGGACGTGAGGTGCCAATTCTAGTGAGAACAATTTCCAGGAAGCCGTGTTCCGCTCTTGAGCAAGCATCCACTGGGCCTCATGCAAGGTAGAAAGAGCCTGCGTACGTCACCCTCCCATGATGTAGTCAACATGTAAGCTGCATGGGCAGGGCGCCAAATAACATCCTGTGCGCTGCTGAGCTGAGCTGGGGCGCGGCCGCCTGTCTGCACCGGCAGCACCATGTCGCTCATGGTCGTCAGCATGGCGTGTGTTGGTGAGTCCTGGAAAGGAATAGAGGGAGGGAGTGCCACATCCTCCTCTCTAAGGTGGCGCCTCCTTCTCCCCCAGGTGGTCAGGACAAGCCCTTCCTCTCTGCCTGGCCCAGCCCTGTGGTGTCTGAAGGAGAACATGTGGCTCTTCAGTGTCGCTCTCGTCTTGGGTTTAACGAATTCAGTCTGTCCAAAGAAGACGGGATGCCTGTCCCTGAGCTCTACAACAGAGTATTCCGAAACACCGTTTTCATAGGCCCTGTGACCCCAGCACATGCAGGGACCTACAGATGTCGGGGTTCACACCCACACTTCCTCACTGGGTGGTCAGCACCCAGCAACCCCCTGGTGATCATGGTCACAGGTCAGAGGGCTCCTGTCTGGGATTCTCCTTGTCCCACCTCCTGAGTCCCAGAGCTTCTGGTGGGAGTGTCCACCAGCGTCCCATCATCCAGACCCTAACTGTATTTGGGGTAAAAGGGGATTGAATACAGGGAAATGGGTGCTGTGGTGGAAAGAATAATTGTCCCCAATGATGACTGCATTCTAATCCCTGCAGTCTGTGACTATTTATGTTATAGGGGAAGGCACTGAAGGGGAAGATGGAGCTCAGGTTGTTGAGTTGACCTTGAGATGGGGAGACAGCCTGGACTGTCCTGCTGGGCTCAGTGTAATCACAAGGGTGCACATGAGAGGAGAAGGAAGAGGGGAGTGGCGATTAGAGCAGTGCAATGGAAGTCTCCATCAGCTTTGAAGGTGGAGGAAGGCCATGAGCCATGAATGCAGGTGGCCTATAGAGGCTGGAAAAGTCAAGGAACTGATTCTCCTGGGTCTCCAGAGGGAACGCAGCCCTGCAGATGCCTTGATTTTAGCCCTCAAAAAACAGGGTCCGATTTCTGTCTCCAGAAACGGAAGGGGTCAGTGTGCTCTCTCCTGCTGCCATGCTTCTGATAATTTTCCACAGCACCAACAGGAAACCAACACTGGAACCCAGGTCAAGGACAAGATAAGAAAGGACACAAGGATAGCCGGGCGTGGTGGCAGGTGCATGTAATCCTAGCAACTCAGGAGGCTGAGGGCAGGAGAATCACTTGAACCCAGGAGACAGAGGTTGCAGTGAGCCTAGACCACACCACTTCACTCCAGCCTGGGTGAAGGAGTGAGACTCTGACTCCAAAATTAATTAATTAATTAAAGAAACCAAACAAAGAGAAGGTTGGCTACACCGAGATCAGCAAGGGTGGGATGATGATGCCACCACCAGGCTCCATCCACATAGGGAGGGGTTGATACTCCTCAAACCAGCACCAGAAGCCAGCCTATGGAAGCTGGCACCATGGAGAAGGCACAGGCATGGCAAGAGTGGCTCCCAGTCCCCACCAGGAACAGGGTGTGTGGACACTGGTGCCTGCCTTACTGATCAGTTCATACCTTCTGCCAAGGATTCCAATTCGTCCAAAAGAGATTGAACCAGTCTGCTAAGAGCCTGGACGTGCAGCCTATCCTGGTTCCTCTTCCACCCCCACATAGAAGCAGGAAAGACATTAGTTCGAAATAGATACAACAGCCCAAGAGATGAGGCTGAGCCCAGCGGCAAGGGAATCAGGAGCTACTAGAGACAGAGGGACAGAGAAGAGGGAGGGAGACAGATGGAAGGACCTGTACCAGGAGTTATGGGCACAGAAAAGAACATGAAGACACAGAGAGGAAGGAGAGAGATAAGACACCAGCGAGGGGAAGCCTCACTCATTCTAGGTGCCATGGATGGGATGATAAAGAGAGATGCCTTCTAAAGTCACAACCTCTCTTCCTAGGAGTCCACAGAAAACCTTCCCTCCTGGCCCACCCAGGTCCCCTGGTGAAATCAGAAGAGACAGTCATCCTGCAATGTTGGTCAGATGTCATGTTTGAGCACTTCCTTCTGCACAGAGAGGGGAAGTTTAATGACACTTTGCGCCTCACTGGAGAGCTCCATGATGGGGTCTCCAAGGCCAACTTCTCCATCGGTCGCATGACGCAAGACCTTGCAGGGACCTACAGATGCTACGGTTCTGTTCCTCATTCCCCCTATCAGTTGTCAGCTCCCAGTGACCCTCTGGACATCGTGATTACAGGTGAGAGTGTCTGGACATTATTCTCATTGTCACTGGGACACAGAGTGAATGATCCACGACTTGGAGGCCCAGGTGGTTATAAGGAAGATGAGCTTGGTATTCTTATGGAGAGAGACTAACTTGGTGAGGTCTGTACCAACAGAGACAGAGAAACAGGAGACACAAGTACAGACCAGGTGTCATAACAGAGGACAGACACAGGGGCCATACAGGGAGTTAGAAAAGACAGAAAGAGTTAAAGGAGACACAGACAGACATGTGCCAGAGAGAGGTGTCCTTCCATGCTGACTTTGCTCAGAGACCTGGCACAGGTTAGAAGTTTCATTTCTGTTTTACTTCCACAAAGTGTTCTCTACCAGAAGAACCCAAGGACACCCATATTTCTGGCCTGAGTTGGGCCCTGTGGCCTCAGGCCTTCTGGCACCTACAGATGCCGTGTTTATTCTGACACCTCTGCCTTCCATGCAATGGAGAGTAATCGTCCCAGGATATCATGGCCCCAGAACATCAACCCCTGTATACTGTGTGAACTTGCGGTCCCCAGACTGGATTCTGAGGCTCACATTCCAAATAACCCCACATATGAGAGGATCACTGAGAGACACAGAGAGAAATCAGGGACACCAAAAAGCAAAGACATAAACACACAGAGAATGAGCCAGAGGAAGGAGATTGAGAGACTCACAGACACATAAAGAGGGAGAAAAGAGGGCAGAGAAGTGGAGAGAACAATGGAAGGGAACAGAGAAAAGCACTAAAATTAGAGTCCTGAGGGAGAGACACAAGGACATAGAAAGATGGAGATGTGGGGATGAATTGCAGAGATTCCAAAGAGAACTAGAGAGACCGAGAGGCAGAGCAAGACAGATGATAGATGGATAGATATAGATAGATGATAAATAGGTAGATGATAGATAATAGGTTATAGATACATAGATGATGATTGATTCATTCATTGATTAATCGATGATACATAGAGATGATGAAGATGAAGATAGATAGATAATACATAGAGATAGAGAGGCAGACAAAGAGAAATCATAGAGAGAGAGAGACGATACATAGATATAGATAATAGATGATTTTTGGATAGACAATTGATAGATAAATAGATTATATATAGATATAGATGACAGGTAGAGAATTTGTAGATAGGCACCAAATAGATAAATAGATATATCGATAGATAATAGATAGAAATATGCAGAAAGTTATGAACAGGACACAAAGTGAGAAACTCAGAATTTAAAAAAAGTAACATCAAGTCAACTAGTCCAAGGAGAGTCAGAGAGAATAAAACAATCCAAAAAGGGAAAACATATCTAGAGGTGAGAAAGTGAGGTCAGAGACCTAGAGAGACAGAGAAGGTGGAAAGAGGAAATAGACATAAAGAGAGATGGTGTGGAGGGTGAGACAGAGAGAGAGAGCATTAGGCCATAGAGCAGGGGAGTGAGTTCTCAGCTCAGGTGGGAGGGGAGTTGTGACAAGGAAGAACCTCCCTGAGGAAACTGCCTCTTCTCCTTCCAGGTCTATGTGGGAAACCTTCTCTCTCAGCCCAGCCGCGCCCCATGGTTAAGGCAGGAGAGAGCGTGACCTTGTCCTGCAGCTCCCGGAGCTCCTATGACATCTACCATCTATCAAGGGAGGGGGAGGCTCATGAACTTAGGTTCCCTGCAGTGCCCAAGGTCAATGGAACCTTCCAGGCCAACTTTCCTCTGGGCCCTGCCACCCACGGAGGGACCTACAGATGCTTCGGCTCTTTCCGTGACTCTCCCTACGAGTGGTCAGACCTTAGTGACCCACTGCTTGTTTCTGTCACAGGTGAGGAAACCAGTCTGTTCCCCAAATAGTGGGACTCAGATGGACTACAATGGCCACATTCAGGGGAGCCTCAGATGGAGGGGGTGGCCATGGGGGTGTCAGCCAGAGATGCTGGACAGAAGAGACACAAAGCAAACATACAGAAAGAGGCATAGACAGACAGACAGAGCGAGGCAGACAGATCACATTAGGGTTTGGGGTGGTAACTGCAACCCTACCTGAAGCTTGCAGATAGAGCACAGGCCACATAAACCACTTCCCAGTCTTTGTACAGAAGCCCACCTGGGACACATGTAAACAGCATCAATGCTGACTCAGGAGCATGAAAGGCCGGGCTCAGATTGGAAAGACTAGAGGTAGCATTGGCCGCCCGCCATTGCCCATTTCCAGAAGCCCCCACCTCTCACCAAAGAGTGATTTCCACATGGGGGGCACAGATGCAACCATCGTTGGGGGAGCCCCAATGTCTCTTGATGGGAGGCATTTTCCACCCTAGATGTTTTTTGCTCTCTCCACACCTTGGAGACTCAGTGGGGGAGTCTTCTCTGGGGACTCGGGGAGGGCCTCCCTGGGACTCGCAGGATTTCCAAGCTAGATGACAACATGACAGGTGGAAACAGGCCCATTCCTTCGCCAGGGGCCCCAAGCTCCATCCCAGGAGATGAGAAGAGGCTCTTCTCATTGGTCAGTGGATCCCTGAGGGGACAGAGGCTCAGCACTGAAGGCTGAGAAGGATCTGCCACTTCGCTCAGTGGCCTCAAGCCAGACATCTTCCCTACAGACTTGCAGTGATTCTCCATCAGCATTTAGGGCTGTGGCCACCAACCTGGGTGTTGGTCTGTAGGAACTTTTCATTTCTGACCTTCCATAACTGAGTTCTCTTCCTAAATGTGGAATGCCTTGTACTCCATGTTACTCTCTCCCCAGAAAGAATGTGTGGCTTGTCTGCTCTCCAGCCCTGTCATGGAGATTGATAATCCTTAGGGAGCAAGAGGAGAGGGAAAGAACAAAGTATGAGACCACCTAGGTGCTACTGGTTGAGGTTCCATTTGCCAGTGAAGGGACTTCACTCAGCCGAGGGGGCAACTCAGGGAAGTCAGCCGAGGGAGGGCATTAGAGTAGAGAGAACTGAGCTCACCCAGTAAATGACCCCTTCACTAACTCATTCATCTAATATTTATTTCACACCTACCATCAGTTCTCTCTGTTTCATGGCCAGGAGTAGACAGCACGGCCAAGCTCCTGGGTTCATGATGCTCACATTGCTGTGGGGTGGGAGAGAGAGGCAGAACATGAATGAATGAATGAGAGAATGAATGAATGAGTGAATGATGGAATGAGTGAATGAATGAATGAATGAATGTATGAATTAGTGAGTGAATCCTTAGCACTTGGTGAAAGTGCCATGCACAGAATGAAATGAATGAACGTGGAACGTTGTCATTTGGAGTGTACAGGAGGGAACGTCTCACTGAGACCTCATCAGAGAGATCACATTTAAACTCCGATCTTAGAGACAAGAGGGAGTGAGCCCTGGGGAGTGTGTTGAAAGGAACTTTCATGGACTTAGGACATTGGGGATGACCCTAATGTGAGAATGAGCTTGGTGTGTTCCAAGAAGTCCATGGACCTGCCATATGGTGAGGGCTGGTCAGAATCCAGAGAGATTTCTAAATGCCCTTGTGCTTGTAAGGAAAGTGAGTCCTGTGGTTGGGAGTGGACTTATACCTTGGGTCAGGTCCAGCAATTATCTTTCTAAATCCTCTCTAATTGCCTGAACCACTTCTATCAACAACTGAGAAAAGAGGAGTGTTAAACACCCCACTGTGGCCGTGGATTTGCCTACCTGTCCATTTATTTCCGCGACTCTTCCTCCATGTATATTTGCAGGAATATTACTGGGAGTGGTTAAGTGTAAACTGATTATATATTCCTGGTAAATTTAAAATGCTATAAATTTACCTGCTTTTTTCCTACATTTTATGCTTAATGTTTTCCGCTGATTTTTCCCAAAGACTAATTTTGTCTAATTTTAATATAGTTATACCACATTTCTAACAGTGATTGCTTGGTATATTTCTACATTGTTTAATTTCAAACTCCATGAATTGTTAACATTGAGATGTGTCCTTTGTAAATTTCAAACAATTCGCCTTAGAAAGTAAGACTTTCTGACAATCTTTTGTTCATGTTTGAGCAGTTCTTCCAATCATATTTTTGTTATTATTACGTTGTGTTTTCCTGATTCCCTTTTTTTCCCACTGACTTCTGTGGTTTTCTATTTCAAACATTCTATTTTTGATCTATGTCGTTTAGGAATACATATATGGTGTACTCATCCTGAAGTTGTTACATATTTTTAAAATTGAAATTAATCATTTCAGAGATTAAACTGCAAATATAAAAACATATTTCCACTCTTCCTGTGTAAGAACAGGATTTTAGAGCATATTTAGTACATATGTTTGTATTTACTTATATGATGTTTTGTTTTGTGGTATACATAATTCTATCTTTTTCAGAAATTACACAGGGGCGTGTTTTCATACACTATCGTATGGTCCATATTCATTTTTGGCATAGCCATATTTTTAGTTCTTCCTCTGCTCTTAGTTATTGTCAGAATCTTCGACACCCCATCTGGTTTCACTTTCTTTATCTTTGAGGCACGGTCATCAGAATTTCCTTTAGGGTCAGTGAGAAAAGCTTTCTTTGCCCTTTTGTCTTTCAGTTCTGTTTCTTTCCTGCGTTGATCTTGGACAGTAACTGTACTATGTAAGGAATTGTCGGTGGCTGGCGACGGTATCTTAGCTGGGTAAAGATGCTATTCTACTGGCTTATGTTTTCCTTTTTTCTGTGGGGAAGACAATGCTTGGCTCCCTATAAATCCTTACCAGCTGATCCTTTTCCTCTGGCTAATTTTAAGGGTTGGTTGTGCTTTTATGCTGCTTTTCTGTAATGTTGAACGTGAGGTGTGTTTACTTCATTCTGCCTGGCATTCACTGGATTTCTTGAACCTGTGGATTGATGGATGTGTCTACTTCCTCCAAATAATCAACAATTGCCTCTTTAAAGATTGCTTCTGACCTGTTTTCTCGTTCTTTCTTTTTGGAACTCAAGTTAGGAGCATTCTAAAACTGTTGTCAATTTTTACCCTGTCACAAAACTGCTCTTTCTTGTTTCAGTTATTTGCTTTTTCTGTGCATTAATATTGATGGTTTCCTCTGTCATAGAGGATAAATACTCTCTTCACTGTTGTGTACACAACATTTTAACTAGTTATTCTGGTTTAAATTTAATATTGACTTTATCTACATATCACAATTGATTACTGTGTACAGACTTTCTTTTCTATTAGTATAAATTTATGAGGTACACTTGTAATTTTGTGACATGAGTATGTTGCAGAGTAGTGAAGTCAGGACTTTTACTATATCCATCACCCAAATACCGTACATTGTACTCATTAAGCAAATTCTCATCACTCACCCACGTCCCGCCACCCTCCAGCCTTCTAGCCTCCGCTGTCCGTCATTCCACACTCTACGTCCATATGTACACATTACTCCCCTCCCATGTAGAGTGAGAAGATGTGGTATTTGTCTTTCTGAGTGGTTTTATGTAAAATAATGGCGTCCAGCTCCATCTATGTTGCTGCAAAAGACATGGTTTTATTTTTATGACCAAATAGTATTTCGTTGTGTATACACGCATCCTTTTTTTAATCCAATCATTCATTCACAGACACTTAGATTGATTTCATATCTTTGCTATTGCAAACAGTGCTGCAATAAACATACAGGTGCAGGTATTTTTTGAGTAGATACCCAGCAGCGGGACCCCTAGATCGAATGGTGCTTCTATTTTTGGTTCTCTGCCAAATTTCCATACTGTCTTCCATAGAGGCTATACTAATTTACATACCGGCCAACAGTGTATAAGAGTTTCCTTTTCTCTGCATCCTTGCCAACACCTGTTATATGTTTCACTTTTTCTTTTTTTCTTTTTGAGATGGAGTCTTCCACTGTCACCCAGGCTGGAGTGCAGTGCCGCCATCTCCACGCGCTGCAACCTCCACCAACCAGGTTCAAATGATTCTCCTGCCTCAGCCTCCTGAGTAGCTGGGATTACAGAACCACACCACCATGCCCAGCTAATCTTTTGTATATTTAGTAGAGATGGGGTTTCACTATGTTGGTCAGGCTGGTCTCAAACTCCTGACCTCATGATCCACCCGCCTCAGCTTCCCAAAGTGCTGGGATTACAAGCGTGAGCCACCACTCCCCACCAGCATTTTTAGTAATAGCCATTCTGACTACTGTAAGATGATATCTCATTGTGGTTTCAATTTGCATTTCTCTGATGATTAGTGATGTTCATACGCTGTTTGGCCATTCGTATGTCTTCTTTTGAAAAATGTCTATGTATATCCCTTTGCCCACTTTTTAATGCTATTATTTGAGGGGTTATGTTTAGTTGTTTGAGTTGCCTAGAAATTCTGGATGTTAGTCCTCTGTTGGGTGCATAGTTTGCAAACATTTCCATTCATTCTGTGGGTTGTCTGTTCACCCTGCTACTATTTCCTTTGCTTGGCAGAAGCTCTTTCGTTTATTAAGTCCCATTGGTCTAGTTTTATTTTTATTGCCTGTGCTTTTGAGGTCTTAGTGATGAATTCTTTGCCCAGACCAATGCCCAGAAGAGTTTCTCTTTGGGTTTCCACCGGTGATTTTATAGTTCTGGATTTACATTTAAGCTGCTAATTACCTTAAGTTAATTTATGTGTATGATTACAGATACAGGTCCAGTTTTATTCTTCTGCATATGGCTATTTAGTTTTCCCAGCACCTTTTATTGAAAAGGAAATCTTTCTCCAGTGTATGTTTTGTTAACGTCGTCAATGATTATTCACTGTAGATATGAGGCTGTATTTCTGGGCTCTCTATTCTGGTCTATTGATCTCTGTTTCTGTGTCTATACCAGCACTGTGCTATTTAAGTTACTATAGCCTTAGAGCATAGTTTGAAGTCAGATAGCGTGATGCCTCCAGGTTTCTACATTCACCTAGAATTGCTTTCTCTATTAGGATCTTTTTTGGTTCTGTATGAATTTTAGGATTGCTTTTTCTAATTCTGTGAAAGCTGGTGTTACTATTTTCATATAAGAATTGCACTGAATCTGTAGATTGCTTTAGGCAGTATGGTCATTTTAACAATATTAATTCTTATGATCCATGAGCGTGGGATTTTTTTTCTTTTTTTTTTTTTGTATTATCTATAATTGCTTTCATTGGTGTCTTACACCTTTCCTGGTACAGCTCTTTCACCACCTTGGTTAAATGTATTCCTGAGTGTTTTAATTTTGCGTATCTATTGTAAACGGCATTGCCTTCTTGATTTGGTTCTCAGCTAGATCATTATAGGTGTAGAGAAATGCTACCGGCTTTTACATATTGATTTTGTATTCTGAAACTTTACTTAGTTCATTTATCAATCATAAGAATTTTTGGCAGGGTCTTTAGGATTTTCTAGATTTAAGATCATAGCATCAGAAATAAAAATAATTTTACTTCCTCTTTTCTAATTTGGATTTTTAATTCTTCCTGTTGCCCAATAGCTCTGACAAGGCTTCCAGTACTATGTTGATAGGAAGTGGTGGATGTCCGTGTCCTTGTCTTGTGCCAGTTCTCAGAGGAGTGCTTTTAACTTTTCCTGTTCAGTATGATGTTGACTCTAGATATGTCATCTATGGCTTTTATTATTTTGAGGTATGTTCTTTCTATGCCTAAGTTTTTGAGGGTTTTCATCAGGTAAGGATGTTGAATTTCTTTTCAGATGCTTTTCTTTATGTCTATTGAGATGATCATATGGTTTTTGTTCTGGATTCTGCTCGTTCTTCTAAGTGGATGAGACATGCCAGAAAAGCATTTAGTCAGCCATCTTGGAAACAAGCATCTCAGATGTTTTCTTTCTCTATAGCTCATTCTTTCTTACCAGTGTTTTCAATTTTGTACTTAATTTTGTAAAGAGAGTAAATGATATAATTTCCACATATGTTTCCTCTGCCAAATCAGACTCACTATGCTTCCTTTCCTTGTATGCATAACCTACCCAGCAATACACACAAACATTTATTGCTTTGGAGAATTAGTTTGGGAACATTTTTGAAATGTACAAAAAAATGTATATCTTCAAAAGAAATTTCTTTTTGTGGCAAAAGACTTCTGAAGGTGCTCATGATGATATAGGGAGAAGAGGGGTTCTGGACAGGAAGAATTTTATGAAGGTGAGATGGGGAAATAGCTCCATTTCAGAGCTTCTGGGGAGAGAGGGGCCTGGCCCACATGGAAAGGTCTCTGATCTTACCCCCACCCTCCAGCCCCTGTTCTCCAGAACTATACTGTGGAGAGTTCCATCAGGATTGTTGTGGCTGGTCTGGTCTTCCTGGCTCTTTTGGCAATGCTGGCTAAGACCTGGTGGAGACATGAGGGGCCACAGGTGGAAATGGAAGAAACATGACTGAAGCTGGCTGGAGTGAATGGCGCGACATTCTGTCTGTGGGAGATTGGCCAGATGGGTTTCAAGTGTGTTGTATCAGCTGTGACTTTTAGTAATGTTCTTGCTACCACAATATCCACTCGTCCATCCCGAATAATTGTGATGAAATATTGTCCTTGGGATAATATTCATTTGCTAAAGACAGGGATGATACCTCAAGGTGCCACTATATACATCGAGGGGATCCACAAAAGTCCATTCAGTAAAATGTAGTTGGCATCTTAGGGTAGGTTGATTCCACCTCTAAAAAAGTAGGTACAACATCAGGTTGATTTTTCCGAAGAAAAGTGGTGATTGGCCATCTTTAGTCTCAATGTAAACGGTAATACTGATGAGTGTGGAAAAGGCAGGGAAGAGGATTGACAATAAGTGACACTCATTGTTTTCATCTGAGCTTTGAGACTGAAAGAGGAACACAGGAGTGAGATGTATGGGAACAAACCCCTTCTTTTTCCAGCTAAACAGAGTGGAAGTTGGACACTGAGTTTTGGCGTACAGCAAAATCCTAAGTCCATTGTTGGGTTGAACACGGCCATGTTGTACATCCTGGTTTCACAGCAGACACTGGAGGAAAACAGCCTGTATTCATAAGAGGCTGTCCCTCGGGTCACTGCCCAGAATATCCGGAGTTGGTGCTCACAGGGTTGGGAACTCTCCTGGACCAGACAGGCTCTGGATATGGGGGGGTACCAAGCTCCCCGGGGCCATGCCTCCACAGCTCTCTTCTCACCTCATTCTTGACCATTTCCCAAACCTCTGACCTCACCTTCATTCATCCATGGTGAACACGCTAAAGCTGGCCTTCAAAGCTTGAGACAGAGGAAAATTGGGCTTCATCTCTGGGAACTAAATTGGGGAGTGGAGACTCAGTTCTGGCCTGACAGGAGGGAGAAGACCCTGGATCCCAGTGTGGATGGGAAGAAGTATGTGTTTCTCTTTTGTGCTTGGACCCTGTGTCCAAGCATGTCTGAGATGTGATGAAGATGAATCTTCCTTTCCTTGTCTATTTTCTCATGCCAGAGAATTGGAATCTTATATTCCATTAACTCTTTCTGTTCTGTTCATCCAGATTCTATGAAGGAGAAAGGAAAAGATGTGATACTGTAATTTTGCTCCATTTGTCTAAAATGAGTAGGCTGCAACTCCTCTTGAAGTGATACCTTTTCTAGCTCTTGTTGGAGGTGTCTCAGGACTCATTACTTCGGGGAACCTGCAACTGTGTCAGTCTGGGGAAACTGCAAATATTCTTGTCTTACATTTGTCTCCAGCCAATTGTGATGGACTCCAGTGACCTGCAATTGCTGTTATTGCAGGTAAAATGTACCTGAGTCAGGCCACAGTTCTCCTGGACTATGAGCCCCTGGCCATGTTCCTGAGGCAATTCTGTTCATCTAAATATAATAATAATAACACACTAAAAATGGCAAGCCATTGTTAATTCCTGAAGTCTCATTTGAAAATTACTAAATGTCTGTTATTTTTTGGTGTTTACATTATATGTAGACAGATAAACTACACACACACACACACACACATGCACACAGAAGAATGGATTGGTTCATGTAGAAAAGTAAATAATTCAAGATGAAAGGATGAAATGTCATGGCACCTACTATTCTATTTTAGATAAAGGGTCTATGAAAAGATTGATTTCTTTTTATGTTTTATTTGTTGACATTTGAACACAAACTATGTAAGTGAGGGAGTCGATTTGAAAGGGAGAAGAGCAAGTTCAAACACATTCAGGTGAGGTCATGCTTTACATGTTTTAATTGAAATGATCCATCTTGGGAGTAGATCAATAACTGAGATGGTGCCAGGAATGTTAAAAAGCTTTTGTCAGTCCTAAATATTGACAAATAAAATTTAATTAAAGTCTTAGAAGAAAACACAAAGGAAAACTTCACAACATCGGATTTGGCAGTGATTCTTTAGATGTGACAACAACGGCACAGGCTACTACAGAAAAAATAAACAAGTTAGACTTTATGAAAATTTTGAAATATTGTGACTCAAAAGACAACATCAGTTACTTCACATGGCAAGGAAAAAGAACTTTTAAGACGATATTATCAAAGTAAAAAGACAACCCACAGAATGGGAGAAAATGTTTTCAAACCACACCACCTGTAAGGGATTAACATCCAGAATATACAGACAACTCCTAAAACTCAATCACAATAAACTCAATTCAAAAATGGGCAAAGTACTGAAACAGACATTTCTCCAAAGAACATACGCATGACAAGATATTCAGCATCACGAATCATTAGGGAAATACTAACTAAAACTACACCAGATGCCATTTCATACCCCTTAGGATGGGTATCATCAAAACAACAACAACAACAACAACAACAAAGTTTCTATACATTAACAACAAACTATCCAAAAAAGTTTACAAGAAAATAAGCCCATTTGCAATAACTACAGAAAACAAAACATGCAGGAATAAATTCACCCAAGGAGTAGAAAGATCTGTATGCAAAAGCTATAAAACATTGATGAAAAAACTCAAGAAATAAACAAATAAATCGAAAGATATTCCATGTTCACGGATCAGAAGGATTAATGTTGTTAAAATGTCCATTCTATCCAAAGTGATTCAATGCAACCATTATCAAAAATCCAATGACATTTTTTTTTACAGAAATAGAAAAAACAGTCCTAAAATTCATGTGGAACCACAAAAGATCTCAAATAACCAAAGCCATCTAGAGGGAAAGGAACAAAGTTGGAAGCATCACATTACCTAAACACAAACTACATTACAAAGTTACAGTAATTAAAACAACACAGTACTTGCATAAAAACAGACACATAGACCAATGGAAGTGATTCATAGCCCAGGAAAAAAAATGCACGCATTTAGGGTCAAACAATTTTTGGGATGTATCAAGAACACACAATGGAGAAGGAACAGTCTCTTTAATAAATGGGATTGGGAGACATGCAGAAGAATGGAAGTGGACATTTGCCTCACAAAACATACAAAGTCAACTCAAGATAGATTAATGACTTAAATGTAAGGTGAAAGACTATCATCCCAGCAATTTGGGAGGCCAAGGCGGGCAGATCACCTAAGGTCAGGATTCCAAGACCAGCATGGCCAACATGGTGAAATCCCGCCTCTACTAAAAATACAAAAACAGCTGGGTGTGGTTGTGGGTGCCTGTAATCTCAGCTACTCGGGAGGTTGAGACAGGAGAATCACTTGAACCCAGGAGGTAGAGGTTGCAGTGAGC
This sequence comes from Homo sapiens, assembly GCF_000001405.40. Taxonomy (NCBI): domain Eukaryota; kingdom Metazoa; phylum Chordata; class Mammalia; order Primates; family Hominidae; genus Homo; species Homo sapiens. The sequence goes on from NT_187671.1 coordinate 79,030, forward strand.
CGAGATCGCATCACTGCACTCCAGCCGGGGCAACAGAGTGAGACTCCATCTTAAAAAAAAAAAAAACTACTAAAAGAAATCAAGGGAAAACTCCACTGGCTTGGGCAAAACCATTTTGGATATTAACCCAAAGGCCCAGGCAACAAAAGCAAAAGTAGACAAATAACATTATATCAAATTGAAAGTTTCTGCAAAGAAAAAAAAAAACTCAACAAGTGGAAAGACAACCTATGGAATGGGAGAATATATTTGCACCCATACATCTAATAAGGAATTAATATCCAAAATATATAAGAAACTCAAACAACTCAATGGTAAGAAATCAAATAACCCAACTTAAAAAAATGGGCAAAGTATCTGAATAAACATTTCTAAGAATAAGACAAATCACCAAAAGGTATATGAAAAAATGATTAGCATTACTAAACATCAGCTAAATAAAAATTAAAACTAGAATGAGATATCACCTCACACCTCTTAGAATGACCATTAACAGTCTGGGCATGGTGGCTCATGCCTGTAATTCAGGCACTTTGGGAGGCCGAGGCAGGGAGATTACCTGAGGTCAGCAGTTCGAAACCAGCCTGGCCAATATGGTGAAATCCCATCCCTACTAAAAATACAAAAATTAGCAGAGTTTGGTGGCGCACACTTGTAGTCCCAGCTACTCTGGAGACTGAGGCAGGGGAATCGCTTGAACCCAGGAGGCAGAGGTTGCAGTACACCGAGATTGTGCCACTGCACTCCAGCCTGGGTGACAGAGCAAGACTGAGTCTCAAAAAAAAAAAAAAAAGACCATTATCAAAAACATAAAAAATAACAAGCATTAACGAGGATGTGGAGAAAAGGGAACATTTGTATGCAGTTGATGGGAATGTAAATTAGCACAACCATTATGGAAAACAGTCTGGAAGTTCCTGAAAAAATTAAACATAGAATTCCCATATGTGTCTGCAATCCAACTACTGCGCATGTATCCAAAGGAAGTGGAATCAGTATGTTGAAGAGATATCTGCATTCCCATGTTTACAGCCGCATTATTCATAACAGCCAAGATGTGGAATCACCCTTACTGCCCATCTATGGGTGCATGGACAAAGAAAACGTGGTATACGATAGGAACGTAATGAAGTACTATACAACCTTTACAACAAAGAAGGAAGTCCTCTCATTTGTGACAATGTGAAAAAACTTAGAGGACATTATGTTAAGGGAAACAATCCAGGCACAGAAAGACAAATGCCACATGATCTCATGTGTGGAGTGTAAGAAGTGGAACCTAGAGGAACAGTAAAATGGTCGTCGAAAGAACCTGGGAAGGAGAGAGATTGAAGAGATGTTGGTCAAAGGATGCAAAATTTCAGTTAGAAGAAATCGGTTCAAGAGATCTATTGTATGTCTTGGTGACTCCATTTAATAGCAACATATGGTGTATTGAACATTACTAAGAGATTAGATTTTACATGTTCTCACCACACACACAAAACATACAAGTATGTGAAAAAATAAATAGATAAAGAGGTTGTTTCATCCATTCCACAATGTGTACCTATATGAAAACATCATGATGGACACCACAAATACCCTTTTCCTCATTAATTAAATTTGTTTTGGCTTTTTTTTTGAGACGCAGTTTCACTGTTGTTGCCCAAGCTGAGGTGCAATGGCGTGATCTCCGCTCACTGCAACCTCTGCCTCCCAGGTTCAAGCGGTTCTCCTGACTCAGCCTCCCAAGCAGCTGGGACTACAGTTGCGTACCACCCCGTCCGGCTATATTTGTGTTTCTAGTAGAGACAGGGTTTCGCCATGTTGGCCAGGCTGGTCTCGAACTCCAGACCTCAGGTGATCCACCCGCTTCGCCCTCCCAAAGTGCTAGATTTCAGGCTGAGACACCACACCCAGCCTGTACATTGACTTTCTGCCCTTAAACTGTGCTGAAGTTTGTTTCTCAGATGTAGGAGCCTTTGGGCAGAGACTATGGGGTTTCTAGGTATAGAAATTATCTCATCTTCAAACAGAGGTAATTTGACTACCTCTCTCTGCTACTCTCTTCTTACTTGGATGCCTTATAATTCTTTCTCTTTCCTGATGGCTCTGTCTAGGACTTCAAGTACTATGTTGAATAGGATGGTGAGAGTGGGCATTCTTGTCTTGTTTCACTTATGAAGGGAACTTCTTCCAGCTTTTACTCATTCAGTATGATGTTGGTTGTGGGTTTGTCATAGGCGGCTCTTATTATATTGAGTTATGTTTCTTCAATGCTTAGCTTGTTGAGGGCTTTTAACATGAAGAAATGCTTAGTAAAAAGTATGTTCTACATGTGTGTTGAGAAGATCATGTGGTTTTTGTTTTTAGTTTTGTTTAGGTGATGAATCACATGTATTGATTGTGTATGTTCAACCAACCTTGCACCCTAAGAATAAAGTTGACTTGATCATGGTGGATTCACTTTTTGATATGCTGCGGGATTCAGTTCTTAGTATTTTTTGTGGATTTTTGCATCTATGCTCATCAGGAATATTGGCATGTAGTTTTCTTTTGTTTAATATTCTTTTCTGTCTTTAGTATCAGGGTGATGCCAGCCTTATAGAATGAGTAAAGGCCACCCTGGGCAAACAGTGAGACCCATCCCTTTTTAAAAATTATGAGTTTTACAAATTTAAAATGCATAGTGAAAAAGTTCTTACAAACTCCAGAAAGGTAGGTGTAAATAAGAGACATTTGTAAGAATGACAGCACATTAAATGTGTAGATTTCAACCTTCAGTTATTGCAATATTCCAGTATCAAGTTGGAGGATGTTATCAGTCTGATATTTTTTCCTCAAATGAGAGAGAGAAAGAAAGACACACAAACAACACAGGGAGAAAAAAAGCACACGTTACAGAGAGACAAAAAGGGAGACAGGGAACTGTGAATTTGGACTCTTGTGTCATAAGACAAATTCTAGATAACACGACCAGACCTTCAATTGACATATTGTGTTTTTGCTAATAAGGTGGAATTCTATGATGCGAAATAACTATATAGTCTTTTCTACTGGGATTTAAATCATTTTATCTGTTTCTGGCTTAACAGGAAAAATACAACCATGGAAAATTATGATGATTTATTTAATACGATTGCTCTATAGTGTTAATAAAACCTATTAGGTATTTTGCATATTACATATCAAGGAGAGTTTGAATCTCAGGTAGAAACAAAAAAAAATACATCAAAAGTTCCTCATGTGAGTGCAGAATTCAATCGTCCCGTGCAGGGGTAAGTGAGTCTGAGATGTGTTTTGAGCCTGGCCGTTGCGCATGATGTGAACTGACAAGTCTAGTCTGCAGTTTTCAGAAACCCTCATTCCTCCCTTGACTGACTCACCACTTGAACCTCATATGACGTAGAAGAAGCCTACCTATGTCCCCTTCACATGTTGTGGTCAATGTGTCAACTGCACGATCCGGGCCCCTCACCACATCCTCTGCACCGGTCAGTCGAGCCGAGTCACTGCGTCCTGGCAGCAGAAGCTGCACCATGTCCATGTCACCCACGGTCATCATCCTGGCATGTCTTGGTGAGTCCTGGAAGGGAAGGAGCACCAGGGTTACACTATGGGCCTGCAGATTGGGTGTCTCCCCAGCAGAGAGCCATGTTCTGAAGCAAGTGAGTGGTGAGGATGAGTTAATTTTCAGTCCAGCGTGGCGCCCAGTGGCTCAGGAGGAAAGGGTAGGTTGGTGCCGAGATGAATAGTTCATCATGATCTTTCTTTGCAGGGTTCTTCTTGGACCAGAGTGTGTGGGCACACGTGGGTGAGTCCTTCCCCAAATGATGGGTTGCCATCTTCACCCCAATACAAGTGAATTTTCCGGAAATGGGAGGGAGGCAGCACAGAGGGTGGGCTGATGGGCTGACCATGGGAAGGCCTGGGGGGAGTCTCTCATGAACTAGTAAGAGGAGATCCTGGGAGTCTCTCATGAACTAGTAAGAGGAGATCCTGGGAGTCTCTCATGAACTAGTAAGAGGAGATCCTGGGAGTCTCTCATGAACTAGTAAGAGGAGATCCTGGTATGCTCAGCCCTCTGTTTTGTCTTAGCCCTCCCCAGCCTTTCTTCCCCATGGCTGAGTTGAGCTCTGTGTGGCCCAGGCGGGATACTGAGGTGCTCAAAGCTGGGGTGTGTGGGGGGATGTGGTGTCACCGACAGAGGAGGGAAGGGTAGCAGTGTTAGGAACAGCAGGTCCTCTGAGGACAAGAGGGTAACTCACACCCTCCAGCGTTTCCATGACGGTAGGGGCTGCAGTGTGGCTGCTGTCATTCTGCCAGAAGAGGTGGGGGAACCACAGCCACGACCCTGCCATTCCAAATCCTCTGATGGAGCTCAGTTGTTTATTGTGGTTCAGGCATTAGCTAATATTCCATTCACAAAGGTCATACCCTCCACCCCATGTCTACTTTGTGTTGTTTGGTGTAACTAATCTTGCAGTATTAAAATCTAGTAAGAGTCCCTTACTCAGCACCTGCTCAGTTCTCAACTGACACTTTTGTTGTAGGGAGACGCCACGTCTATGCGGGATGGGTCCTTCCTGTAGCCCCAGGCACCCAGGTGTGGTAGGAGCCTTAGAAAGAAGAAATGGGGAGAATCTTCTGAGCACAGGGAGGGAGGGGCAGCTCAACATACTCCTCTCTGAGGCGGCATCTCCTTCTCCCCAAGGTGGTCAGGACAAGCCCTTCTGCTCTGCCTGGCCCAGCGCTGTGGTGCCTCAAGGAGGACACGTGACTCTTCGGTGTCACTATCGTCGTGGGTTTAACATCTTCACGCTGTACAAGAAAGATGGGGTCCCTGTCCCTGAGCTCTACAACAGAATATTCTGGAACAGTTTCCTCATTAGCCCTGTGACCCCAGCACACGCAGGGACCTACAGATGTCGAGGTTTTCACCCGCACTCCCCCACTGAGTGGTCGGCACCCAGCAACCCCCTGGTGATCATGGTCACAGGTCAGAGGGCTCCTGTCTGGGCTTCTCCTTGTCCCACCTCCTGAGTCCCAGAGCTTCTGGTGGGGGTGTCCACCAGAGTCCGATCATCCAGGCCCCAACTATATTTGGGGTAAAGGGGGATTGAATACAGGGGAATGGGTGCTGTGTTGGAAAGAATAACTGTCCCCATCGATGGCCACATTGTAATCCTTGGAGCCTGTGACTATGTTATAGGGCAGGGGACTGAAGGGGAAGATGGAGCTCAGGTTGTTGATGAGTTGACCTTGAGATGGGGAGATGGCCTGGACTCTCCCACTGGGCTCAGTGTAATCACAAGGGTCCATATGAGTGGAGAAGGAAGAGGAGAATGGGGATTAGAGCAGCATCGTGGGATACTCCACCAGCCACTGTGGGCTTTGAAGGTGGAGGAAGACCACGAGCCACGAAGGGGCTGGAGAAATCAATGGAACTGATTCTCCCGAGTCTCCAGAGGGAATGCAGCCCTGCAGATGCATTGATTGTAGCCCAGGAAGAACAGGGTCTGATTTCTGTCTCCAGAAGTGGAAGGGGTCAGTGTGTTCTCTCCTGTCGCCATGTTTGTGATAATTTTCTCCAGCAACAACAGGAAACCAACACAGGAACCCAGGTGAAGGACAAGTTAAAAAACCAAACAAGAAGGTTGGCTACCCTGAGATCAGCAAGGGTGCACTGCTGATGCCACCACCAGGCTGGAACCACATAGGGAGGGATCGACAGGAAGAGTTGGGGGTGGAGGGTGAGAGAGAGAGAGAGAGCACTAGGCCATAGAGCAGGGCAGTGAGTTCTCAGCTCAGGTGGGAGGGGAGCTGTGACAAGGAAGAACCTCCCTGAGGAAACTGCCTCTTCTCCTTCCAGGTCTATATGAGAAACCTTCGCTTACAGCCCGGCCGGGCCCCACGGTTCGCACAGGAGAGAACGTGACCTTGTCCTGCAGCTCCCAGAGCTCCTTTGACATCTACCATCTATCCAGGGAGGGGGAAGCCCATGAACTTAGGCTCCCTGCAGTGCCCAGCATCAATGGAACATTCCAGGCCGACTTCCCTCTGGGTCCTGCCACCCACGGAGAGACCTACAGATGCTTCGGCTCTTTCCATGGATCTCCCTACGAGTGGTCAGACGCGAGTGACCCACTGCCTGTTTCTGTCACAGGTGAGGAAAGCCAATGTCTGTCCCATGTCCTATGGTCCTAGAGCCTTAGCTGAGGAGCTTCCTGCTGATGATGGAGAGAAGCATGGACAGATGTGGAGAGAAGATGCAGCATGGTGTGAGGGTGGGATCAGGGCACAGGATGGCAGACAGGGCACCTCCAAACCCTCCTGCATGGGCTGCATGGAAGCTTGCAGTAAGGGCTCCGGGTACCCAGGCAGATGGAGAAAGTGGTCAGGACAGACCCAGAGGAGGGAGACTGGGCTCAGTTTGGGGAGATCAGAGGTTCCCTCAGCCCCTCAACCTTACCCATTTCCCAGAAGCCCACCCTGGCCTCTCACCTACACAGAGATGTCATCACCAGCAACCCCTACACTTTTTCTTTTCCTTTGAAAAAATGCTGATTGAGGTTAAATATACCTATATAATTTATCAACTTTACCATTTTTAAGTGTAAAATCTAGGGATCATAAATACCTTTATATGCTGTGTGCGGTGGCTCACGCCTGTAATCTCAGCATTTTGAGACGCCAAGGCAGGTGGATCATTTAAAATCAGGGGCTGGAGACCAGCCCGGCCAACATGGGGGAACCAATCTTTACTAAAAAGACAAAAAAAATAAAATTAGCCAGGCATGGTGCCAGGCGCCTATAATCCCAGCAACTTGGGAGGCTGAGGCGGGAGAGTGGCTTAAACCCAGGAGGAGGAGGTTGCAGTGAGCTGAGATCATGCCACTGCACTGCAGCCTGGTGACACAGAGAGACTCTGTCTCTAAATAAATAAATAAATAAATACTTTTATATTCTTCTTTTGTTACCCTCCACCCCTTCCTTCCTAACCTCTGGTATCCACCATTCTACTCTCTACCTTCATGAGGTCCACCTTTTACATCCTGCATGTGAGTAAGAAATGGCAATCCTTGTAATGACCTCTAGTCCATCCATGTGGCTGCAAATGACAGGACGTTACTCTTTCTATGGATGAGTTGTCTCCATTGTGTGTATGTACTACATTCTCTCTATCCATTCATCCACTGATGGGCAGGTAGGTTGACTCCACATCTTGGCTACTGTGAACAGTGCTGGAACAGTCATGGGAGTGCAGATGTCACTTCAATACACTGAAGTCCTTTTCTTTGCATTTACACCCACTAGTGGAATTGCTAGATCCTCTGGATGTTCTCTTTTTAGGTTTTGTTTTATGCTTTTTGTTTTTTTGACATAGCGTTTCACTCTTGTTGCCCAAGCTGGAGTGCAATGGCACCACCTGGGCTCACTGCAACCTCTACCTCCAGGATTCAAGTGATTCTCCAGCCTCAGCCTCCCGAGTAGTTGGGATTACTGGTGCCCGCCACCAAGCCTGGCTGATTTTTGTATTTTTAGTAGAGACGGGGTTTCACCATGTTAGCCAGGCTGGTCTCGAACTCTTGACCTCCAGTGATCTGCCCACTTCAGCCTCCCAAGGTGCTGGGATTACAAGCGTGAGCCACAGTGCCTAATCTCTTTTCAGTTTTTAAGGAACTTCCATATTCTTCTCCTCTGTAATGGCTGTATTAATTTACATTCCTATCAACAGTGTATCAGGGTTCTCCTTTCTCCACCACCTTGCCAACATTTGTTTTGTCTGTCTCTGAGATAAAACCCATTGTAATGGGGTGAGATGATAGCTCATTGTGACTTCATTTGCATTTCTCTGATGATTAGTGATACTGAGCACTTTTTCATATATGCAATGTATATATGTTCATTTGTATGTTTTGTTCATTGAGAAATGTCTGTTCAGGTCTTTTACTAATTTTATAATTAAATTATTAGTTTTATTGAGGTGTTTGAGCTTCTTTTATATTCTAGTTATTAATCCCATCTCAGATGCATAGTTTGCAAATATTTGCTCCCATTCTGTGGGTTTTCTCTTCTTCACTTCATTGGTTGCTTCCTTTGCGGTGCAGAAGCTGCTTGATTTGATATAATCCCAATGGTCTATTTTTTTTGTTGTTGTTGTGATTACTTGTGTTTTTGAGGTTTTAAACAAAATGTCTTCCCTCAGACAAATGTCCTGGAGCATTTCTCCAGTGTTTCCTTTTAGACATTTAATGGATTCAGGTCTTAAGTCATTAATCCATTTTCATCTGATTTTTGTGTATGGTGAGAGGTAGAGGTGCAGTTTCATCCCTCTGCATGTAGATATCCAGTTTTCCCTGCACCATTTATTGAAATGACTGTCCTTTCCAGATTGTAGATTCTTCGAACCTTTGTCAAAGTCCATTGGATGTAAATGGGTGGATTACATCCGTGTTCTTCATTCTGCTTCATTGTTTTATGTGCTTTTCTTTATGCCAATGTCATGTTGTTTTGCTTACTACAGCTCTGTAACATATTTTTAAGTCAGGTAGTGTGATGCTCCTGTTTTCTCCTTATACCTTGAAGTCTCAAGATAGTTGGTGTCACCTACAATGATTATGGAGAATGGGATGCCAGGACTCCCAGGGCCCAACATTAGATAATAGAAGGTTGGCCATGAACCAACCTCAAAGATTTCCATTGAGTAGAAAAGACAGGCATCCTCATTGCCACACCTCTCTCCTGTCCCATGTTCTAGGAAACCCTTCTAGTAGTTGGCCTTCACCCACTGAACCAAGCTTCAAAACTGGTAAGTGAAGGACCCCTCTTATCTCTGCTTTTGGAAACCTGGGGAGGTAGAAGCCTTGGATTCAAGCGTTGGCTCAGCACCTGCCAGCTCTGTGATTGTGGGCCTGTCTTCCATTGTCTCTGAACCCCAGACACTCCAACAGCGAAAGGGATCTGGGCCCAGCACAGGGCTCAGTGAAATCTCTTAATCTCTAATTTTCTGCTGCTGAGACCTCAGGGTAGAAGGATGAGTGCAAATCAGACATTCTTCTCAGGAAAAATGCTGTGTTTGTTCTGCCTGCATTCCTAACTGGGAGGACAAATGCCTGGGGGCTTGAGAAGGGGAAGGAAGGGGAACATTTTTGAGGGTGGTGTGTTTGTAGAGAAGTTCTACTTGCCAAGGAATGAGCTCCTGTCTGTCATGATCCAACCCTGGTTGACTTAGTGGAACAAGAGCTTTGCGGTAAGAGAGAACGTAGTTCATCCGTGCACATGACACTTCCACTTACTCGTTCAGCCACTGCCCCATGCTCAGACTGTGCAGTGTGGAACTTTTTCCTATGTTGCCATAACAAATTTCCACAAGCTTCGTGGATGGAAACCACATTTTTAAAAAATATCTCATGGTGCTGTAGCTCAGAAGTATGAAATGCATCATCTCACTGGGCTAAAATCAAGGTGACAGCAAGGCTGCCTTCCCTCTGAATGTTCCAGGCAAGAATCTGCTTCCTCACTTTTCCCAGCTCCTAGAGGCTCCCACATTCCTTGGCTCCTGGTCCCCGTCTTCCTCCCTCAAAGTCCACAAAGGCTGGTCACGCCTCTCACACGGCATCACTCAGACCCTTCTTCCTTGTCCACACCTCTTTCTCTGAATGCTGCTCTGCCTTCTTCCTCATCTTTTAAGGACTTTGGCATTCTATTGGAAACACCAAGATAATCCATCATAATTTCCCTAAAATCATCTAGGATACCCTCCTTTTAAGGTTAGCTGATTAGCAACCGTAATTCCATCTGCAATCTGCATTCCTTTTTTCCATGTAAAATAACATATTCACAAGATATGGCGACTAGGACAGGAACATTTTGGGGTGGGGCGGCATTCTTATCCTTTCCACAAATGGTAAACAAGGTGCATTTGGCCTCTGCTCTTGGACACTGATATTGCAAAGGATTAAATGGGAGGGCAGAAAATGAATACACCAGTGGACCAATAAATGAATGATCCATTGGGAAGCATCTGTGCATGAGAATGATTGATTGATTGGTTGTTTTTATGAGACGGTGTCTCCCTCTGTGCCCCAGGCTGGAGTGCAGTGGCGGGATCTCGGCTCACCGCAACCTCCACCTCCCAGGTTAAAGCGATTCTCTACACTCAGCTTCCCGAGAGGCTGGGATTACACCCATGTCCCACCACGCCTGGCTAATTTTTTTTTGGTATTTTTTTTTAGTACAGACAAGGTTTTACCATGTTGCCCAGGCTATCTCAAACTCCCAACCTTAAGGGATCCGCCCGTCTCAGCCTCCCAAAGTGCTGAGATTAGAGGCGTGAGCCAAGGCGCCGAGCCGTATTTTAAAAGAAATAATAGATAATGCTGAGTGTATAATTTCGGGTGACAGAGAAGTTCTCACTGATCAAATAATACTTGTGACCTTAATGAAAAAAATAGATCAACCCCTGGAAGATTGGCGGAAGGATTTTCCACACAGCTGTCAGCCGTGAAGGCACAAAGGTGAAAACAATGTTATGTGGAAGGAAGAGGCTCTGCCTGAAATGCTGGGAATGACATGGGGAGAATGACAAGACGACTGTGGAGAGACAGAGAGCACTCTGGGTACACAGGAAACTAAGGAGGAACAAGGAGCGTGTGTTTGATACTCACAGCCATTGGACTTACCTCGGGGCTAACTGGGAATCCCTACATGATGAATAGTGACTGACATGAAAATAAGGGAGGCCCAGGTGCATAACTGGAATCTAGGAGACTGTGGAAAAGGCAATTCCCGCCCCCCTGGTGAAATGTGGTGCTGATTTAGACACTAAATGAATGAAAGATGGACACAAGATGTGTTTGTGAGGTAGAGTAATTTGCAGGGAGGGCTTGCCTGGTTTGATTTTTCCTAATTGTTTAATCTTCACTTCATTGATTTCTTTCTGAGATTTATTTTTCCTACATGTAAATCAATACTTGGCAGAGGAGTGAGAGATACATGAGGGGTGGTGCAAAGGAAGAGACCTATTATAATATAACACACAAGGTTCTGAACGGTGGCTCACACCTGTAACCCAACATTTTGGGAGGCTGAGGAGGCTGGATCAAGTGAGATCAGGAGTTCGAGATCAGCCTGGACAACATGGTGAAACCCCATCTCTACAAAATATACAAAAACTAGCTGGGGGTGGTGGCGCGTGCCTGTAATACCAGCTATTCAGGAAGTTGAAGAAGGAGAATGGCTTCAACCAGGGAGGGAGAGGTTACAGTGAGCCAAGATCGCGTCATTGCACTGCACCCTAGGTGACAGAGTGAGACTCCATGGCAAAAAATAAAAATAAAGAATACATAAATATAATATAACATACACGAATGACAAAGGCACACCAATTCCAATCATCATTTTTCTATTTCTCTATAATGACTTCTTTGATCCTTTATCCTATCCATAAGAAAATCAGGCGAAAACATCTTCCTTATTTGGCTTTCTGTGAGCATGAGATCATATGGAAAATGTGAAACCCACCAGCACAGGTCCTGGAATAGAGAACGTGATCTGTTCATGGCACAAAACTTGCCCCTTCACCCAAATCCCCCACCTCACCCCTACTTCCAATCACATTAATGATACAGATAGATCATGGGGAGGTAAAAACTAATATTCTTTGGAGTTCAGATCGTAGACTCAGAGACCAGTGCCAGCACTATCTCCTGGTCACCTTTTGGAGTAATTCACAGAAAGACAGGCTGTATTGAAGCAACAGATGATGGAGGGGGTGGTCTTTCCCCCAGACTCTCGGGTGGAACAGCAGCCTAATATCTGACTCCCAAGATGACAAAAGTAGCATGTTGCCCACGAGCTTCATCATTATTTCCTGGCTGTTTGATATAAGACAGCTCAACCTCACTTATGTTGATTTCAATGTCACTGTTTTTTCCTTTTCTTGGAGAATGTAATTTGTTTGAGTCAAGAGGGTTGTGGATGTAGAAACTGTAAAGCACATTCACTGTGTATCAATCCCAGTCCAGTCTTCCCAGAGAAGACTCTAAACACCTCCCATACTGCACCTGGGCCTGTGCCAATTTCTATCACTCACCATCACTCCAGGGAGACAGAACACACAGGGAATACATTACATAGGCAGGTTCATTACTTATAGATAAGCAGCGAGTGACAACAGAAACCTTCCTTTCAGGGTGAGCCAGTCCCTCAAGGCTCAGAAAAACTGCTCAGGACACATGGAGTCACTTCATGTGCACTGTAGCTGGGGGAAGCCAGAAAGCAGCCCAGCCTGGGTTTTGTACCCTGGAGCCACAGGGAACACTCAGCTAAAGCACTGCATGATGTTCTCCTCCAGGAAGAACAGGAAGACAGCCCAGGCTGTTCTGAGACGTTCCTCCTGATCTCAGGATGTTGCTGTCTTAGCCTATTTTTGTTGCTATAAAAGAACACTTGAGCCTGGGTATCTTCTAAAGAAAAGAGATGTGTTTGGCTCACTGATCGGCACGCTGTACTAGAAGCAGGACACTACCATCTATTTCTGGCTGCGGCCTCAGGCTGCTCCCACACTGACAGAAGAGAAGGGGGTCCTGCGTGTGCAGAGACCACAGAGATCACATGGCAAGAGAGGGAGAAAGGGGGTGTGATGGAGCTTCCAAGCTCTTTTTAAGAATCAACTCTCCAGGGTACTAATAGAGGGAGAACTTGCTAAACCCGTCCTCTGGGGACAGCATTAATCTATTCATGATGGATCCACCCCCATGACCAAAACACCCCTCCCAATAGGCACAACCTCCCACACTGGGGATTAAATTTCAAAGTGGGGTTTGGAGGGGTCAAACATTGAAACAATAGCAGTTGTATCATCAGCACATTCTATTGTTATTATGAAAACTATAACGGAGAAAGCAGGAGAAAGCTGGGTCTCCCGCCTCGTGGGTGCTTGTCCTAAAGAGGTGTTTTATGTGGTTGCCTGGCAACCAAGAAATGAGAGACAATCCACAAAGAGGAACTGCTATGGTTAGCTTCTTATTGGATTCTCATCTTCCTCCAGGTATCGCCAGACACCTGCATGCTGTGATTAGGTACTCAGTGGCCATCATCCTCTTCACCATCCTTCCCTTCTTTCTCCTTCATCGCTGGTGCTCCAAAAAAAAAAGTAAGCCTCACGAAGCAGAGGCCAGAGAACTCAGGGCCCTGTGCGGAAGCAGGATGGGAGCACGCAGGTGTGTGTTCCTCACTGGCAGGAAAGTCTCTGGCCCAAGGCAGGAGCCAGAGGCAGAGCTTTCTAGAGAGAGCACCAGACACCCTGCCCCTGCCTTCAGCTCACAGACCATTGCCTGATTGTGAACTGTATCCTCACGTCCCCTGCAGCCACTCACATCCAGGAGAAGATTCCATGACAGGCAGAAAGTGGGAGATAGAATCAATGGGATGGGAACTGACAGCTATTCATGGAATGGGGTCTTGCACTCAGAGAGATGGAATGTCTGAGTCTGGCTGTTGGCAGCTGAGGGACCTCAGGCACCTATGGCCTCCCCCTGTGTGTTGGTATCTGTTCATGAAATGAGGACCCAGAAGTGCCCTCCCAGCTGTTTTGATTGCTTCCGTCTCCTACAGATGCTGCTGTAATGAACCAAGAGCCTGCGGGACACAGAACAGTGAACAGGGAGGTAGGTCCTCCTAGCCCAGCCTCATGGATACAGTCTTATTCCCTAATAGTCCTGAAAAATGTGAACACCCTCCCTCACTCAGGATTTCCCTCTCTCCAGGACTCTGATGAACAAGACCCTCAGGAGGTGACATACGCACAGTTGGATCACTGCATTTTCACACAGAGAAAAATCACTGGCCCTTCTCAGAGGAGCAAGAGACCCTCAACAGATACCAGCGTGTGTATAGAACTTCCAAATGCTGAGCCCAGAGCGTTGTCTCCTGCCCATGAGCACCACAGTCAGGCCTTGATGGGATCTTCTAGGGAGACAACAGCCCTGTCTCAAACCCAGCTTGCCAGCTCTAATGTACCAGCAGCTGGAATCTGAAGGCGTGAGTCTCCATCTTAGAGCATCACTCTTCCTCACACCACAAATCTGGTGCCTGTCTCTTGCTTACCAATGTCTAAGGTCCCCACTGCCTGCTGCAGAGAAAACACACTCCTTTGCTTAGCCCACAATTCTCTATTTCACTTGACCCCTGCCCACCTCTCCAACCTAACTGGCTTACTTCCTAGTCTACTTGAGGCTGCAATCACACTGAGGAACTCACAATTCCAAACATACAAGAGGCTCTCTCTTAACACGGCACTTAGACACGTGCTGTTCCACCTTCCCTCGTGCTGTTCCACCTTTCCTCAGACTATTTTTCAGCCTTCTGGCATCAGCAAACCTTATAAAATTTTTTTGATTTCAGTGTAGTTCTCTCCTCTTCAAATAAACATGTCTGCCTTCATTCTTTAGGTGACTCTTTTTTTGGCTGAAAGTTTCCAGTGTTATCATTACCATGTCCAAATAACTCCAACTGTTCTCCACTGGGTTCTCACCCCTGGACTCTGAGCTTCTGGAAGCAGGGTGGAGCCTGATTTGTCTCTGAGACTCCAATTTCCATCCAAAGATGCAGCACATAAGAGGTTCCAAGGATCGTGAATCACATGAACAAGTGATATTCTTACTCTCTGCAGACCTGGAAAGCTGGCAGAGTCATTCCATGATGAAACATTTGTAGAGTCATAGGCCTTGTCAGTCTCATCTCCACGGGGACACATATCAACACATCATCTTTCATACTATAAATATACAGTCGGTCCTCTGTATCTGTGGGATTTACAGGTGTTTATTGAACCAAATATAAATCAAAAATATTCAGAGAAAAAATCCACAAAGTTTCAAAAAGCAAAACTATGTTGAATGGACACAAATGAAGCTGTGTGTAGGCTGTATCAGGAATTATAAATAATCAAGGGATGATTTCATGTACACAGGAGGATGTGCATGGGTTATTTGCAAATGCTGTGCCATTTCATGTAAGAGGCTTGAGCATCTGCAGATTGTGCTATCTGAGTGGAGATCCTGAAACCAATCACCCACGAATAGTGAGGGATGACTGTATATAATTTTTATTTCTCAATTTTAAATATAAAACATAAAAAAATTACAATAACAAGATAAAATAAACAAGTGTTTTATAGTGTGAGAATACTTTTAGATATATTTTTCTCCATGTGTAACCCTTGGGCCCATGTTATTTATTGAGAAGACATTCTATTCCACCTTAAACCACATGGCAGCCTTTGTCAACTATAAAGGGACTGTGTGTACACGGATGTATTTTAGACACTGTTTTCTGCTCAGTGGCTCTCTCTCTGTCCACTCTCTTGAGAATGCTGCATTTTATGCAGCCTTATACAACCCCTAAAATTTGGTAGCTGGAGTCCTCTAGTTATTTATTATAGGCTATTTGCTATGCTTTTTTTATTTTTCTTGAGGCAGAGTCTCGCTCTGTTGCCCAGGCTGGAGTGCAGTGGCACGATCTCGGCTCACTGCAACTTCCGCCTCCCAGGTTCAAGGGATTCCGTGGCTCAGCCTCTTGAATAGCTGGCATTACAAGTGCCTGCTACCAGGCATGGCTAATTTTTGTATTTTTAGCAGAGACATGGTTTCACTATATTGGCCAGGCTGGTCTCAAACTCCTGACCTCGGTTGATCACTCACTTCGGCTTCCAAAGTGCTGGGGAAATTGATTTTCTATAGCATTATGTTACTGGATATTTCTGTAAAATTTAAAATGAGGGAGGCAGAGAGACAGAGAGAGAGCAAACCATGAGTTGGAACTCTGGAATCTTGGGACATGAGACAAATTCTAGATAAATCTACAAAAATCCAGAATTTACATGTTGTGATTTTTGCTGATAAAGTACAATTCTAAGATTGTAAATAATTGCATAATCCTTCCCTGGGAGTTTAAATCATTTGAACTGGTTCTGCTGTAATACTAGAAATACAATCATGAAAAATTCTAATGGTTTATTAGTCACAATTGCTCTGAAAACCTTAATAATACCTATTAGATATTTTGCATATTACACAGGAAGAAGAGTTTGAATCTCAGATAAAAGCAAAAAAAATACATGAAAAGTCTTTCATGTTAGCACAGATTTTAGGCATCTCGTGTTCGGGAGGTTGGATCTAAGACGTGTTTTGAGTTGGTCATAGTGAAGGACGCGAGGTGTCAATTCTAGTGAGAGCAATTTCCAGGAAGCCATGTTCCGCTCTTGAGCGAGCACCCACTGGGCCTCACGCAAGGTAGAAAGAGCCTGCGTACGTCACCCTCCCATGATGTGGTCAACATGTAAACTGCATGGGCAGGGCGCCAAATAACATCCTGTGCGCTGCTGAGCTGAGCTGGGGCGCGGCCGCCTGTCTGCACCGGCAGCACCATGTTGCTCATGGTCGTCAGCATGGCGTGTGTTGGTGAGTCCTGGAAGGGAATCGAGGGAGGGAGTGCGGGGATGGAGATCTGGACCTGGAGGTAAAGATATGGGCCTAGAGGTGGAGTTATGGGCCTGGAGGTGGAGTTATGGGCCTGAAGTGGAGATCTGGGCCTGGAGTGGAGATCTGGGCCTGGAGTGGAGATAGGGGCCTGGGGTGGAGATATGTGCCTGGAGTGGAGATCTGGGCCTGGAGTGGAGATATGGGCCTGGGGTGGAGATATGTGCCTGGGGTGGAGATATGGGCCTGGAGGGGAGATATGGATGGGCCTGGAGGGGAGATGTGGGCCTAGAGGTGGAGTGATGGGCCTAGAAGTGGAGCGATGGGCCTGGAGTGGAGATATGGGCCTGGAGGTGGAGTTATGGGCCTGCAGTAGAGATATGGGCCTGAAGTGGAGATATGGGCCTGGAGTGGAGATATGGGCCTAGAGGTGGAGTTATGGGCCCGGAGGTGGAGTTAAGGGCATGAAGTGGAGATCTGGGCCTGGAGTGGAGATATGATCCTGGAGTGGAGATATGGGCCTGGGGTGGAGATACGGGCCTGGAGCAGACATACAAGCCTGGAAAGGAGATATGGGCCTGGAGAGGAGATAGAAGCCTGGAGTGGAAATATGGGCCTGGAGTGGAGATATGAGCCTGGAGTGGATATATGAGCCTGGAGTTGAGATAGGAGCCTGGAGTGGAGATATGGGCCTGGAGTGGACTTATCAGCCTGGAGAGGAGATATGGGTCTGGAGTGGAGATACGGACCTGGAGTGGAGATCTGGGCCTGTTGTGTAGATCTAGGCCTGGAGGTAGAGATCTGGGCCTGGAGGCTGAGTCTCTGCACAGCCGAGATCCTTGTTCCTGGGGGCAGGTAGGCAGCGAGGGTGAGTTTACCTTCAGCCCAGCAAGGGCCTGGCTGCCAAGACGCACAGCCCAGTGGGGGCAGCAGGGTGCCCTGGTTTGCCTGCAGATGGATGGTCCATCATGATCTTTCTTTCTAGGGTTCTTCTTGGTCCAGAGGGCCGGTCCACACGTGGGTGAGTCCTTCCCCAAACCTTAGGGTGTCATCTCCCCACATAAGAGGATTTTCCTGAAATGGGAGGGAAGTCCTGTCGGGGAGTCTCTCATAAACTAGGAAGAGGGGACCCTCGGATGCTCGGCCCACATTTCTGACCTTGCCCTCCCCGGCCTTTCTTTCCCTTTCCTGAGTCAAGCTCTGTGAAGACTGGGGTGAGACTAGGGTGCTCCAAGATGGGTGTGCAGGGAGGAAGTGGTGTCAGCAGCAGAGAAAGAGAGGGAAGCAGTGCTAGGAACAGCAGGTCCTCTGAGGACAAAGGTGTAACTCACACCCTCCAGCGTTTCCGTGATGGTAGGGGCTGCAGTGTGGCTGTGGTCTTTCTACCAGAAAAGGTGAGGAAACCACAGCCATGGCCCTGACATTCCAAATCCTCTGATGGGGGCTCAGTTCATCAATTGGCTGATATTCCATTCACATAGGACTTGCCCTCCATGCCGTGTCTACTTTGTGTTGTTTTATATGAGTAATTTTGCAGTATTAAAATCTAGTAAGAGTTGCTTCTCCAGCACTTGCTCAAAGTTCTCAGCTGACACTTGTTGTAGGGAGACGCCATGTCTATGCAGGATGGGTCCTTCCTGTAGCCCTGGGCACCCAGGTGTGGTAGGAGCCTTAGAAAGTGGAAATGGGGAGAATCTTCTGGGCACTGGGAGTGAGGGGCGGCTCCACATCCTCCTCTCTAAGGCAGTGCCTCCTTCTCCCCCAGGTGGTCAGGACAAGCCCTTCCTGTCTGCCTGGCCCAGCGCTGTGGTGCCTCGAGGAGGACACGTGACTCTTCGGTGTCACTATCGTCATAGGTTTAACAATTTCATGCTATACAAAGAAGACAGAATCCACGTTCCCATCTTCCATGGCAGATTATTCCAGGAGAGCTTCAACATGAGCCCTGTGACCACAGCACATGCAGGGAACTACACATGTCGGGGTTCACACCCACACTCCCCCACTGGGTGGTCGGCACCCAGCAACCCCGTGGTGATCATGGTCACAGGTCAGAGGCTTTCCGTCTGGGCTTCTCACTGTCCCACCTCCTGAATCCCAGAGCTTCTGGTGGGGGTGTCCGTCAGGGTCCCATCACCCAGGCCCTGACTGTATTTGGGGTCAAGGGAGATTGAATACAGGGGAAATGGGTGCTGTGGTGGGAAGAATCACTGTCCCCAATGATGGCTACATTGTAATCCCTGGAGCCTGTGACTATTTATGTTACAGGGCAGGGGACTGAAGGGGAAGGTGGAGCTCAGGTTGTTGATGAGTTGACCTTGAGATGGGGAGACAGCCTGGACTGTCCCACTGGGCTCAGTGTAATCACAAGGGTCCACATGAGAGGTGGAGGAAGAGGGGAGTGGGGATTAGAGCAGTGTAGTGGGAAGGAGACGCTATCAGCCACTGCGGGCTTTGAAGGTGGAGGAAGACCACTAGTCACAGAATGCAGGTGGCCTCTAAGGGCTGGAGAAGTCAAGAGAACTGATTCGCTGATTCTCCAGAGGGAACGCAGCCCTGTAGACACCTTGATTTCAGCACAGGGAGAACTGGATCCAATTTCTGTCTCCAGAAGTGGAAGGGGTCAGTGTGTTCTCTCCCGCTGCCATGTTTGTGGTAATTTTCTGCAGCAGCAACAGGAAACCAACACAGGAACCCAGGTCAAGGACAAGTTAGGAAACCAAACAAGGATAGCCAGATGTGGTGGTGGGCGCGAGTAATCCAACGACTGGGGAGGCTGAGGCAAGAGAATCACTTGAACTGGGGATTTGTTCAAAAGAGATTGATTCAGGCTGCTAAGAGCCTGGACATGCAGCCTCTCCTCTTCCACCCCCACATAGACAGCAGGAAAGAGATTAGTGGGAAACAGATACAACAGCCCAAGAGATGAGGCTGTCTTCACAGTGGCAAGGGAGTCAGGGGCTACTGGAGACAGAGGGACAGAGAAGAGGGAGGAAGACAGATGGAGGCACCTGCACCAGGGGATATGGGCACAGAAAAGACACGGAGATGCAGAGAGGGAGGAGAGAGACAGACACGGGGAGGGGAACCCTCACTCATTCCAGGTGCCATGGATGGGATGATAAAGAGAGATGCCTTCTAAACTCACAACTTCTCTTTCTAGGAAACCACAGAAAACCTTCCCTCCTGGCCCACCCAGGTCCCCTGGTGAAATCAGGAGAGAGAGTCATCCTGCAATGTTGGTCAGATATCATGTTTGAGCACTTCTTTCTGCACAAAGAGGGGATCTCTAAGGACCCCTCACGCCTCGTTGGACAGATCCATGATGGGGTCTCCAAGGCCAATTTCTCCATCGGTCCCATGATGCTTGCCCTTGCAGGGACCTACAGATGCTACGGTTCTGTTACTCACACCCCCTATCAGTTGTCAGCTCCCAGTGATCCCCTGGACATCGTGGTCACAGGTGAGAGTGTCTAGACATTGTTCTCATTGTCACTGGGACACAGAGTGAATGATCCAGGACTTGGAACCCCCAGGTGGTCATGAGGAAGATAAGTGTGGGATTCTTATGGAAAGAGAGTGACTTGGTGAGGTCTGTACCAACAGAGACAGAGAAACAGGAGACATAAGTACAGAACAGGTGTCATAACAGAGGACAGACACAGGGGCCATACAGGGAGGTAGAAAAGAGAGAAAGAGGTAAAGGAGACACTCAGACAGACAGACATGTCCCAGAGAGAGGTGTCCTTCCATGCTGACTTTGCTCAGAGACCTGGCACAGGTTAGAAGTTTCATTTCTGTTTTACCTCCACAAAGTGTTCCTACCAGAAGAACCCAAGGACACCCATATTTCTGACCTGAGTTGGGCCCTGTGGCCTCAGGCCTTGTGCCACCTACAGATGCCGTGTTTATTCTGACACCTCTGCCTTCCATGCAATGGAGAGTAATCATCCCAGGATATCATGGCCCCTGAACACCAACCCCTGTATGCTGTGTGAACTTGGGGTCCCCAGACTGGATTCTGAGGCTCATATTCCAAATAATCCCACATATGATAGGATCGCTGAGAGACACAGAGAAAAATCAGGGACACCAAAAAACAAAGACATAAACACACACAAAATGAGCCAGAAGAAGGAGATTAAGAGATTCACAGACACATAAAAAGAAAGAAAAGAGGGCAGAATGGAGAGAATGATGGAAAGGAGGAGAGAAAAGCCCCAAAATCAGAACCCTGAGGGAGGGACACAAAGACAGAGAAAGATAAATATGTGGGGATGGATTGCAGAGATTCCAAATAGAACTAGAGAGACTGAGAGGCAGAGAAAGACAAGGAGACGGAGAGAGAGAGATGATAGATGGATAGATAGACGTAGATAGATGATAAATAGGTAGATGATAGATAATGGATTGGTTATAGATACATAGATGATGACTGATAGATGATACATAGAGATGACGATGATGATGATAGACACATAGATATATACATAGATGATACATAAATAGAGACAGAGAGGCAGACAGAGAGGTAATAGAGAGAGAGATAGATGATACATATATAGATAATAGATGATTGATGGATAGATAGACAGATAGACAATTGATAGAGAGATAGATAAGTGATACATAAATATAGATGATAGATAATTTGTAGATAGACACAAAATAGATAAATAGATAGAAATGTGCAGAAAGTTATGAACAAGACAGAAAGTGAGAGACTCAAAATTAAAGAAAAAGGAAGATCAAGTCAACCAATCCAAGGAGGGTCAGAGAGAATAAAACAATCCAAAAAGGGAAAACATACCTCAGGGTGGGGAAGTGAGGTCATAGACCTAGAGAGACAGAAAAGGTAGAAGGAGGAAACAGATATGAAGAGAGATGGGGTGGAGGGTGAGAGAGAGAGAGAGAGCATTAGGTCATAGAGCAGGGGAGTGAGTTCTCAGCTCAGGTATGAGGGGAGCTATGACAAGGAAGAACCTCCCTGAGGAAACTGCCTCTTCTCCTTCCAGGTCCATATGAGAAACCTTCTCTCTCAGCCCAGCCGGGCCCCAAGGTTCAGGCAGGAGAGAGCGTGACCTTGTCCTGCAGCTCCCGGAGCTCCTATGACATGTACCATCTATCCAGGGAGGGGGGAGCCCATGAACGTAGGCTCCCTGCAGTGCGCAAGGTCAACAGAACATTCCAGGCAGATTTCCCTCTGGGCCCTGCCACCCACGGAGGGACCTACAGATGCTTCGGCTCTTTCCGTCACTCTCCCTACGAGTGGTCAGACCCGAGTGACCCACTGCTTGTTTCTGTCACAGGTGAGAAAAGCCCATATCTCTCTCATGTCCTATGATCCTAAATCCTTAGCTAAGGAGCTTCCTGCTGATGATGGAGAAAAGCATGGACAGATGCAGAGAGAAGACACAGCAGGTGTGAGGGCGGAGTCAGGGCGCAGGATGGCAGACAGGGCACCTCCAAACCCTCCTTCATGGCCTGCATGGAGGCCTCCGATCAGGGCTCCAGGCACCCAGGCAGATGGAGAAAGCGGTCAGGACAGACCCAGAGAAGGGGAGACTGGGCTTAGTTTGGGGAGATCAGAGGTTCCCTCAGCCCCTCAATCTTATCCATTTCCCAGAAGCCCATCATGGCCTCTCACCCACACAGAGAGATATCATCACCAGCAACCCCTACACCCTTTTCTTTTCATTTTCAAAAATATTTATTGAGGTTAAATGTAACTATATAATTTACCACCTTTACCATTTTTAAAAGTAAAATCTAGTGGTCATAAATACCTTTATATGCTGGGTGTGGTGGTTCACGGTTGTAATCTCGGCGCTTTGAGAGGCCAAGGAAGGTGGATCATTTAAGATCAGGAACTCGAGATCACCCTGGCCAACATGTGGGAAATTCATCTTTACTAAACAGACAAGAAAAATTAGCCGAGCATGCTGGCATGCACCTGTAGTCCTAGCTACTTGGGAGGCTGAGGCAGGAGAAGCACTTAAAGCCAGGAGGCAGAGGTTGCACTGAGCCGAGATCATGCCACTGCACTGCAGCCTGGGAGACAGAGAGAGACTCTGTTTCTAAATAAATAAATACATCTATATTCTTTTTTTTGTTACCCTCCACCCTTCCCTTCCTGGCCTCTGGTGTCCACCATTGTATTCTCCACCTTCATGAGATCCACCTTTTATCTCCTGCATGTGGGTGAGAAATGGGAATCTTTGTAATGACCTCCAGTTCCATCCATGTGGCTGCAAATGACAGGATGTTATTGTTTCTATGGATGAGTAGTCTCCACTGTGTGTGTGTACCACAGTTCTCTATCCATTCACCCACTGATGGGCAGGTAGGTTGACTCCACATCTTGGCTACTGTGAACAGTGCTGGAACAGTCATATGAGTGCAGATATCACTTCGATACACTGATGTCCTTTCCTTTGGATATAAACCCAGTAGTGAAATTGCTGGACACTATGAAAGTTCTCTTTTTTTTTTTTTCTTTTTTGAGAAAGAGTTTCCCTCCTTAGTCCAAGCTGGAGTCTAAGTGGTGAGATCTTGGCTCATTGCAACCTGTGCCTCCTAGGTTCAAATGATTGTCCTGACTCAGCCTCCCTAGTAGCTGTGATTACAGGTGCACGCCACCATGCCTGGCTAATTTTTGTATTTTTTTAGCACAGACGGGATATCCCAATTTTGGGCAGGCTGCTCTCAAACTCCTGACCTCAAGTGAGGTGCCTGCCTCGGTTTCCCAAAGTGCTGAAGTTACAGGCATAAGCCACTATGCCCAGCCTCCTTTTAGTTTTTTAAAGAATTTCCATACTTTTCTCCATAATAGTTGTACTAATTTACATTCCTACCAACAGGGTACCAGGGTTCTCCTTTCTCTACCATCTTGCCAGCATTTGTTTTGCCTGTCTTGCAGTAAAAGCCATTTTACTTTACTTTATTTTATTTATTTATTTATGTTGAGATGGAGTTTCACTCATAGTCTCCCAGGCTGGAGTGCAAGGGTGTGATCTCAGCTCACTGCAACCTCCGCCTCCCGCGTTCAACTGATTCTCCTGCCTCAGCCTCCAAAGTAGCTGGGATTACAGGCATGTGCCACCACGCCTAGCTAATTTTTGTATGTTTAGTAGAGAGGGAGTTTCTCCATGATGGTCAGGCTGGTCTCCCGACCTCAGGTGATCCGCCCACCTCCGCCTCCTGAAGTGCCGGAATTACAGGCGTGAGCCACCGGCCTAAAAGGCATTTTAATGGGATGAGATGAAAACTCATCGCGATTGTAATTTACATTTCTCTGATGATGAGTGATGCCGAGTACTTTTTCATATACGTGATCGCCATTTCTATGTTTTGTTTGTGGAGAAATGTCTCCTCATGTCTTTTGCTCGTTTTTTAATTAAATTGTTTTATTGAGTTGTTTGAGCTTCTTATATTTCCAGTTATTAATCCCGTCTCAGATGAATAGTTTGCAAATATTTGCTCCTATTTTGTCGGTTGTCTCTTCACTTTCTTGGTTTATCTTTTGTGGTGCAGAAGTTGCTTGGTTTGATGTAATCCTAATGGTCTATTTTTTGCTTTGATTACTTGTGTTTTGAAGGTTTTAAACAAAATGTCTTTCGTCAGACAAATGTCTTCCCCATTATTTTCTTCTACATGTTTCATAGGTTCAGGCCTTAGACTCATGTTTTTAATCCATTTTCATTTGATTTTTGTGTATGGTGACAGGTATAGATGCAGTTTTATTCCTCTGCATGTAGATATCCAGTTTTCCCCACACCATTTATTGAAAAGACTGTCCTTTCCTGATTGTAAGTTCTCGGCACCTTTGTCAAAGTCCATTAAATGGGCTGGGTATGGTGGCTCACACCTGCAATTCCAGCACTTTGGGAGGCCGAGGCGGGTGGATCACCTGAAGCCAGGAGTTCAAGATCAGGCTGGCCAACAGAGTGAAACCTCGTCTCTACTAAAAATACAAAAATTAGCTGAGCATGGTGACCAGTGCCTGTAATACCACTACTCGGGTGTTTGAGGCAAGAGAATTGCTTGAATCCAGGAAGTGGAGGTTGCATTGAGCTGAGATTGCACCTCTGCACTCCAGCCTGCATGACAGAGCAAGATTCTAACACACACACACACAAAAAAAGCCATTGGATGTAAATGCATGGATTATATCTGTGTTCTCCATTCTGTTTCATTTTTTATGTGCCTTTCTTTATGCCAATGTCATGCTGTTTTGCTTACTACAGCTCTGTAACATATTTCTAAGTCAGGTAGTGTGATGCTCCTGTTTTCTCTTTATACCTTCAAGTCTCAAGACAGTGGGCATCGCACACAAAAATTATGGAGAAGAGGATCCCAAGACTCCCAGGGTCCAACATTAGATAACAGAGTGTTGGCCATGAACCAACCTCAAAGATTTCCATTGAGTAGAGGACAAGCACCCTCATTTCCTCACATCTCTCCTGTCCCATGTTCTAGGAAACCCTTCAAGTAGTTGGCCTTCACCCACAGAACCAAGCTCCAAATCTGGTGAGTAAAGGACCCCTCTTATCTCTGCTTTTGGAAACCTGGGGAGGTGGAAGCCTTGGATGCAAGTGTTGGCTCAAACCTCCCAGCTCTGTGAATGAGGGCCTGTCTTCCACCATCTCTGAACTCCAGACACTCCAACAGTGAAAGGGATCTAGGGCCACCAAAGGGCTCAGCGAAGTCTCTTAACCTTTAATGTCCTGCAGGTGAGACCTCCTACAAGCTAGAAGAATGATTGCCAATCTGACATCCTTCTCAGGAAACATGCAGTGTTTTTTCTTCCTGCATTCCTAACTGGAGGATAAATTCCTGGGGACTTGAGAGAGGGAAGGGAAGGGAACATCTGATGAGGGCGAGGTGTTTTAGAGAAGTTCCACTTGCCAAGGAATGAATTACTGTTGGTCATGAAGCAACCCTGGCTGACTCAGCAGAGCAAGAGCCTTGCCGTAACAGAGAACAGAGCTCATGCACGCACACTTCGACTCACTGACTCATTCAGCCACGGCCCCATGCTCAGGCTGTGCAGTTGGAATCCTTTCCTATTGTTGCCATAACAAATTTCCACAAGATTCGTGGGTGAAAACAAAACGGTTTTTTAATTATCTTACAGTGCTGTAGCTCAAAGTAGGAAGTGCATCTTACTGGGCTAAAATCAAGGTGACAGCAAGGCTGCCTTCCCTCTGAGGATTCCAGGCAAGAATCTGCTTCTCACTTGTCCCAGCTTCTAAAGGCTCCCAGTTCCTTGGCTCCTGGTCCCCTTCCTCCTTCCTCAAAGCCCACAAAGACTGGTCACATCTCACATGGCATCACTCAGACCCTTCTTCCTTACCACACCTCTTTCTCTGAATGCTGCTCTCCCTTCTTCCTTATCTTTTGAAAACTTGGGGATTCTATTGGGTTCACCAAGATGAAAATCCATCATAATCTCCCGGAAATCATTCAGGATACCCTTGTTTTCAGTTCAGCTGACTAGCAACCGTAATTCCATCTGCAATCTTCATTCCTTCTTTCCATGTAAAATAAGATATTCACAAGCTATGGAGGCTAGGACAGGGACATTTTGGGGTGGGACAGCATTCTCCTGCCTTCCACGAACGGTGAACAAGATGCATTTGGCCTCTGCTCTTGGGACACTGATATTGCAGATGGTTAAATGGGAGGACAGAAAATGAATGCACAAGTGGACCAATAAATGAATGATCCATTGGGAAGCATCTGTGCATGAAATCTA
Organism: Homo sapiens; assembly: GCF_000001405.40. Classification (NCBI taxonomy): domain Eukaryota; kingdom Metazoa; phylum Chordata; class Mammalia; order Primates; family Hominidae; genus Homo; species Homo sapiens. The sequence continues at coordinate 105,253 of NT_187671.1, forward strand.
TTTGTTTGTTCGTTCATTTATTTATTGAGACAGAGTCTCCCTCTGTCTTCCAGGCTACAGTGCAGTGTCACGATCTTGGCTCACTGCAACCTGCGTCTCCTGGATCCAAGTGATTCTCCTGCCTCACCCTCTCGAGTAGCTGGGATTACAGGCAACTGCCACCATGCCCGGCTAATTCTTTTTGTATATTTTTTGTAGAGAGGATGTTTCACCATGTTGGCCAAGCTTGTCTGAAACTCCCAACCTCAAGTGATCCGACCATCTCAGCAACCCAAAGTACTGGGATTACAGGCGTGAGCCACTTTGCCCAGCCAGAATTCAAAATAAATAATAGATAATGCTGAGTGTATAATTTTGGGTGACAGAGAAGGTCTCACTAATCAGATATTTGTGACATTAATGAAAAACACGGATTGAACCCCTGAAAGATTGGCGGAAGGATTTTCCACACACAGCTGTCAGCCGTGAAGGCAGAAAGCTGAAAACAATCTGATGTGGAAGGAAGAGGCTCTGCCTCAAATGCTGGGAATGAGGTGGGGAGAATGACAAGACGACTGTGGAGAGACGGAGAGCACACTGGGTACACAGGAAACTAAGGAGCAACAAGGAGTGTGTGTTTGACACTCACAGCCATTGGATTCACCTCGGGGTAGCCAGGAATCCCTACATGATTAATAGTGACTGACATGAAAATAAGGGAGGCCCAGGTGCGTAACTGGAATCTAGGAGACAGTGGAAAAGGCAATTGCCGCCCCACTGGTGAAATGTGGTGCTGATTTAGACCCTAAGTGGATGAAGCAGATGGATATAAGCTATGTTTGGGAGGTAGAATCATTTGCAGGGAGGGCTTGCTGGGTTTGAGTTTCCTAGTTGTTTAATCCTTGCTAAATTAATTTCTTTCTGAGATTTATTCCTCCTACACATAAATCAATACCTGCCAAAGGAGTGACAGATATATGAGGGGTGGTGGAAATGAAGGGACCTATTATAGCATAGTATACAAGTCTGTGAACGGTGGCTCACTCCTGTAACCCAGCACTGCAGGAGGCTAAGGCCAGTGGATTCCAAGAAGTCAGGAGTTCGAGACCAGCCTGGCCAACATGGAGAAACCCTATCTCTACATGGTGAAACCCTATCTCTCCTAAAAATACAAAAATTAGCCGAGCATGGTGGTGCATCCCTGTAATCCCAGCTCCTGCTCTGGAGGATGAAGCAGGAGAATGACTTCAACCCAGGAGGTGGAGGTTGCAGTGAGTGGAGATCGCATCACTGCACTCCAGCCTGGGTGACACAAGGAGACTCCATCTCAAAAAATAAAAATAAGAAATGCATAAATATAATAAAACACACACGAATGACAAAGGCACCTGAATTCCCATCATCATTTTTCTATTTCTCTATAATTACTTCTTTGATCCTTTATCTTATCCATTAGGCAATCAGCCTAAAACCTCTTCCGTATTTGGCTTTCTGTGAGCATGAGATCATATAGAAAATGTGAAAGCCCGCTGAATCCTCCAGCACAAATCCTGGAATAGAGAAAGTGCTCTGGTCATCACAAAAAAAACTTGCCCCCTCACCCAAATCCCCCATCTCACCCCTACTTCCAATCACCTGTGGAGATACAGATAGATCATGGGGAGGTAAATGCTAATACTCCTTGGAGTGAGTCCAGATCTTGGAATGAGAGATCAGCACCAGCACTAGCTCCTGCTCCCCTTTCCTACTAATTCACAGGAGGACAGGTGGTATTGAAGCAATAGATAGTCGAGGGGGTGGTCCTTCCCCCAGCCTCTGAGGTAGAACAGCAGCCTAACATGTGTCTCCCGAGATCACAAAGAGTAGCACATTTCACACGGGCTTCAACACTATTTTCTGGCTGTTTGACATAAGAGAATTCTACTTCGCTTTTTTTATATTGATTTCACTTTTGTTTCCTTTTCTTGGAGAATGCAAGTTGTTTAACTCAAGAATGCCGTGGATGTAGAAATCCTAAAGCACATTCGCTGTGTATCAATCCCAGTCCAGTCTTCCCAGAGAAGACTCTAAACACCTCCTGGACTGCACCTGGGCCTATGCCAATTCCTATCACTCACCGTCACTCCAGGGAGACAGAACACACAGAGAATACGTTACATAGGCAGGTTCATTACTAACAGATAAGCAGCGAGTGACAACAGAAGCCTACATTTCAATGTGAGCCAGTTCCCCAAGGCTCAGAAAAGCTGCTCGAGACATGTGGAGTCACCCCATTTGCAGTGTAGCTGGGGGAAGCCAGAAAGCAGCCCAGCCTGGGTTTTGTACCCTGGAGCCACAGGAAGCACTCAGCTAAAGCACTGCATGACGTCCTCCTCCAGGAAGAACAGGAAGACAGCCCAGGCTGTTCTGGGACGATCCTCCTGATCTCAGGACTTTGCTGTCTTAGTCCATTTTTGTTGCTCTAAAGGAACACTTGAGCCTGGGTAACTTCTAAAGAAGAGATTGGTTTGCCTCACCATTCTGCAGGCTGTACTGGAAGCATGGCACCAGCATCTATTTCTTATGATGGCCTCAGGCCGCTCCCACTCTGGCAGAAGGGAAGGAGGGTCTGTCTGTGCAGAGACCACAGAGATCACACGGCAAGAGAGGGAGCAAGGGGGAGGGGGAGCAATGGAGCTTCCAAGCTCTTTTTAACAACCAGCTCTCCAGGAACTAATAGAGAGGGAACTTGCTAACCCCGTCTCCTTGGGACAGCATTGATCTGTTCATGATGGATCCACCTCCATGACCCAAACACCTCCCAAGAGGCCCAACCTCCCACACTGGGGGTTAAATTTCAATGTGAGGTTTGAAGGGGTCAAACATCTCAACTAAAGTAGTTGTATCCTCAGCACGTTCCATGGTTACTATGAGAGCTATAACTGAGAAAGCAGGAGGAAGCTAGGTCTCCCGCCATCTGGGTGCTTGTCCGAAAGAGATGCTGTAAGTGGTTACCTGTCAATCAAGAAATGCAAGACAATTCATATAGAGAAACTGCTATGATTAGCTTCTTACTGGTGTCTCCTCTTCTTCCAGGTAACCCCAGACACCTGCACATTCTGATTGGGACCTCAGTGGTCATCATCCTCTTCATCCTCCTCCTCTTCTTTCTCCTTCATCTCTGGTGCTCCAACAAAAAAAGTAAGTCTCACGGGGCACAGGCCAGAGAGCTCAGGGCCATGTGGGGAAGCAGGATGGGAGCACACAGCTGTGTGTTCCTCACTGGCAGGATGGTCCCTGGCCCAAGACAGGAGCCACAGAGGCAGGACTTTCTAGAGAGAGCACCAGACTCCCTGCCCCTGCCTTCAGCTCACAGACCGTTGCCTGATTCTGAACTGTATCCTCATGTCCCCTGCAGCCACTCACATCCAGGAGAAGGTTCCATGAGAGGCAGAAAGTGGGAGACAGAATCAATGGGATGGGAACTCAGAGCTATTCATGGGATGGGTCCTTGAGCTCAGAGAGATAGAATGTCTGAGTCTGCTGTTGGCAACTGAGGGACCTCAGGCACCTATGGCCTCCCCCTGTTTGTTGGTATCTGCTTATGAAATGAGGACCCAGAAGTGCCCTCCGAGCTCTTTTGTTGACTTCCGTCTCCTACAGATGCTGCTGTAATGGACCAAGAGCCTGCAGGGAACAGAACAGCCAACAGCGAGGTAGGTGCTCCTCGGCCCAGCCTCGTGGCTAGTGTTATTCCCAAACAGTCCTGGAAAACGTGAGCACCCTCCCTCACTCAGCATTTCCCTCCCTCACTCAGCATTTCCCTCTCTCCAGGACTCTGATGAACAAGACCCTCAGGAGGTGACATACGCACAGTTGGATCACTGCGTTTTCACACAGAGAAAAATCACTCGCCCTTCTCAGAGGCCCAAGACACCCCCTACAGATACCATCTTGTACACGGAACTTCCAAATGCTAAGCCCAGATCCAAAGTTGTCTCCTGCCCATGAGCACCACAGTCAGGCCTTGAGGACGTCTTCTAGGGAGACAACAGCCCTGTCTCAAAACCGAGTTGCCAGCTCCCATGTACCAGCAGCTGGAATCTGAAGGCGTGAGTCTTCATCTTAGGGCATCGCTCCTCCTCACGCCACAAATCTGGTGCCTCTCTCTTGCTTACAAATGTCTAGGTCCCCACTGCCTGCTGGAAAGAAAACACACTCCTTTGCTTAGCCCACAGTTCTCCATTTCACTTGACCCCTGCCCACCTCTCCAACCTAACTGGCTTACTTCCTAGTCTACTTGAGGCTGCAATCACACTGAGGAACTCACAATTCCAAACATACAAGAGGCTCCCTCTTGACGTGGCACTTACCCACGTGCTGTTCCACCTTCCCTCATGCTGTTTCACCTTTCTTCGGACTATTTTCCAGCCTTCTGTCAGCAGTGAAACTTATAAAATTTTTTGTGATTTCAATGTAGCTGTCTCCTCTTCAAATAAACATGTCTGCCCTCATTGCTTCAGGTAATGTGACACTGTATTCGCTGAAAGAAACCGCTGTTATCATTACCATGTCCACATAACCCCATCTGTTCTCCGCTGGGTTCTCACCCCTGGATTCTGAGCTTCTGGAAGCAGGGTGGAGCCTCATTTGTCTCTGGGACTCCAATTTCCATCCAAAGATGCAGCACATAGGAGGTTCCAAGGATCGTGAATCACATGAACAAGTGATATTCTTACTCTCTGCAACCTGGAAAGCTGGCAGAGTCATTCCACGATGAAACATTTGTAGAGTCATAAGCCTTGCTAGTCTCATCTCCACGGGGACACATATCAACACATCATATTTCATACTATAAATATACAGTCGCTCCTCCATATCTGTGGGGTTTACAGGTGTTTATTGAACCAAGTGTAAATCAAAAATATTCAGAGAAAATGTCCACAAAGTTTCAAAATGCAAAACTATGTTGAATGGACACAAATGAGGCAGTGTGTAGGCTGTATCAGGAATTATAAGTAATCAAGAGATGATTTCATGTATACAGGAGGATGTGCATGGGTTATATCCAAATGCTGTGTCATTTTATGTAAGAGGCTTGAGCATCTGCAGATTTTGGTACCTGAGTGGAGATCCTGAAACCAATCACCCACGAATAGTAAAGGATGACCGTATATGACTTTTATTTCTCAATTTTAAATATAAATCATAAAAAATGTACAATAACTAGATAAAAAGTAAGAAGTGTTTTTATAGTGTGAGAATAAGTTTAGATTTATTTTTTCCTACGTGTAACCCTTTGGTTTAATATTATTTATTAAGAAGACATTCTATGCCACCTTAAACCACACGGCAGCCTTTGTCAACTCTAAAGGGACTGTGTGTACACGGATGTATTTTAGACACTGTTTCTGCTAAGGGGCTCTCTGTGTCCACACTCTTGAGGATGCTGCACTTCATGTAGCCTTATAAAACCCTTTAAATTTAGTAGCCAGAGCCCTCTAATTTGTTATTATAGGCTACTTGCTATTTTTTTTTCTTGAGGCGGAGTCTTGCTCTGTCGCCCAGGCGGGACTGTAGTGGAGCAATCTCAGCTCACTGCAACTTCCGCCTCCCAGGTTCAGGCGATTCTCGTGCCTCAGCCTCTTGAGTAGCTGGCGTTACAGGTGCCTGCCACCAGGCACGGCTAATTTTTGGATTTTTAGCAGAGACACGGTTTCACTATGTTGGCCAGGCTGCTCTCAATCTCCTCATCTCAGTTGATCCGCCCACCTCGGCTTCCCGACCTGCTGGGGGAAACTTGATTTTCTATAGCATTATGTTACTGGATATTTCTGTAAAATTTAAAATGAGGGAGGCAGAGAGACAGAGAGAGAGCAAACTCCAAAGTTGGGACTCTGAAATCTTGAGTCATGAGACAAATTATAGATAAAACTACAAAAATCCAGAATTTACATGTGTGGTTTTTGCTGATAAAGTACAATTCTAAGATTGTAAATAATTGCATAATCCTTCCCTGGGAATTTAAATCATTTGAACTGGTTCTGCTGTAATACTAGAAATACAAGCATGAACAATTCTAATGGTTTATTAGTCACAATGACTCTGAAAACACTAATAATACCTATTAGATATTTTGCATATTACACAGGAAGAAGAGTTCGAATCTCAGATAAAAACAATAAAAATTCATGAAAAGTCTTTCATGTTAGCACAGATTTTAGGCATCTCATGTTTGGGAGGTTGGATCTAAGACATGTTTTGAGTTGGTCATAGTGAAGGACGCGAGGTGTCAATTCTAGTGAGAGCAATTTCCAGGAAGCCATGTTCCGCTCTTGAGCGAGCACCCACTGGGCCTCATGCAAGGTAGAAAAAGCCTGCGTACGTCACCCTCCCATGATGTGGTCAACATGTAAACTGCATGGGCAGGGCGCCAAATAACATCCTGTGTGCTGCTGAGCTGAGCTGGGGCGCGGCCGCCTGTCTGCACCGGCAGCACCATGTCGCTCATGGTCATCATCATGGCGTGTGTTGGTGAGTCCTGGAAGGGAATAGAGGGAGGGAGCGTGGGGATGGAGATCTGGGCCCAGAGGTGGAGATATGGGCCTGGAGGTGGAGTTATGGGCCTGGAGTGGAGATCTGGGCCTAGAGATGGAGTGATGAGCCTAGAAGTGGAGATCTGCGCCTGGAGTGGAGATCTGGGCCTGGAGTGAAGATCTGGGCCTGGAGTGGAGATATGGGCCTGGAGTGGGGATAGGAACCTGGAGTGGAGAGAGGAACCTGGAGGAGAGATAGGAACCTGGAGGGGAGGTAGGAGCCTAGGGTGGAGATATGGGACTGGAGTGGAGATATGGGACTGGAGTGGAGATATGGGCCTGGAGTGGAGTTATGGGCCTGGAGTGAAGTTATGGGCCTGGAGGTGGAGATACGGGCCTGGAGTGGAGATATGAGCCTGGAGTGGAGATATGGTCCTGGAGTGGAGATATGGGCCTGGAGTGGAGATATGGGTCTGCAGTGGAGTTATGGGCCTGGAGTGAAGTTATGGGCCTGGAGGTGGAGATATGGGACTGGAGTGGAGATATGGGACTAGAGTGGAGATAGGGGCCTGGAGGTGGAGATCTGGGCCTGGAGTGGAGATCTGGGCCTGGAGTGGAGATCTGGGCCTGGAGTGGAGATATGGGCCTGGAGTGGAGATATGGGTCTGCAGTGGAGATATGGGCCTGGAGGTGGAGATATGGGCCTGGAGTGGAGTTATGGGCCTGGAGTGAAGTTATGGGCCTGGAGGTGGAGATATGGGCCTGGAGTGGAGATATGGGACTAGAGTGGAGATAGGGGCCTGGAGGTGGAGATCTGGGCCTGGAGTGGAGATATGGCCCTGGAGTGGAGATATGGGCCTGGAGTGGAGATATGAGCCTGGAGTGGAGATATGGCCCTGGAGTGGAGATATGGGCCTGGAGGTGGAGATATGGGCCTGGAGTGGAGTTATGGGCCTGGAGTGAAGTTATGGGCCTGGAGGTGGAGATATGGGCCTGGAGTGGAGATATGGGACTAGAGTGGAGATACGGGCCTGGAGGTGGAGATCTGGGCCTGGAGTGGAGATATGGCCCTGGAGTGGAGATATGGGCCTGGAGTGGAGATATGAGCCTGGAGTGGAGATATGGCCCTGGAGTGGAGATATGGGCCTGGAGTGGAGATATGAGCCTGGAGTGGAGATATGGCCCTGGAGTGGAGATATGGGCCTGGAGTGGAGATATGGGCCTGGAGTGGACATATGGGTCTGGAGTGGAGATACGGGCCTGGAGGTGGAGATATGGGCCTGGAGTGGAGATATGGGCCTGGAGGTGGTGATATGGGCCTGGAGTGTAGACATGGGCCGAGTGGAGATATGGGTCTGGAGTGGAGATATGGGCCTGGAGTGGAGATATGGGACTGGAGTGGAGATATAGGCATGGGGTGGAGACATGGGCCGGGAGTGGAGATATGGGACTGGAGTGGAGATACGGGCGTGGGGTGGAGATATGTGCCTGGAGGTGGAGATATGGGCGTGGGTTGGAGATATGGGCCTGGAGTGGAGATATGGGCGTGGGGTGGAGATATGGGTCTGGAGTGGAGACATGGGCATGGGGTGGAGATATGGGCCTGGTGTGTAGATATGGGCCTGGAGTGGAGATATGGCCCTGGAGTGGAGATATGGGCCTGGAGTGGAGATCTGGGCCTACGGTGGAGATATGGGCCTAGGATGGGGATATGGGCCTGGAATGGAGATATGGGCCTGGGTGTGGAGATATGGGACTGGAGTGGAGATATGGGCCTGATGTGGAGATATGGGCTTGGAGTGGAGATATGATCCTGGAGTGTAGTTATGGGCCTGGAGGTGGAGATCTGGGCCTGGGGTGGAGATATGGGCCTGGAGTGGAGATATGGGACTGGAGAGGAGATATGGGACTGGAGTGGAGATATGGGCCTGGAGTGGAGATATGGGCCTGGATTGGAGATATGGGCCGAGGGTGGAGATCTGAGCCTGGATTGGAGATGTGGGCCCGGATTGGCTATATGGGTCTAGGGTGGAAATATCGGCCTGGAGTGGAGATATGGGCCTGGAGTGGAGATATGGGCTTGGGGTCGGGATATGGGCCTGGAGGCTGGGTCTCTGTACAGCCGAGAGCACTGTTCTTGGGTGCAGGTAGGCACTGATGGTGAGTTTACCTTCGGCCCAGGAAGGGGCTGGCTATCAAGACTCACAGCCCAGTGGGGGCAGCAAGGAAGGCCTTGTTTGCCTGCAAATGGATCTTCCATCATGATCTTTCTTTCCAGGGTTCTTCTTGCTGCAGGGGGCCTGGCCACAGGAGGGTAAGTCCTTCTCCAAACCTTAGGGTGTCATCTCCCCACATAAGAGGATTTTCCTGAAACGGGAGGGAAGTCCTGTCAGGGAGTCTCTCATAAACTAGGAAGAGGGGACCCTGGGGTGCTCGGCCCACAGTTCCGACCTTGCCTCCCTGGCCTCTCAACCCCTTGGCAGAGTCAAGTTGTGTGGGGACCAGGGTTGGACTAGGGTGTTCAAAGCTGGGTTGTGTGGTGGGGAAGTGGTAGGAACAGCAGATCCTCTGAGGACAAAGGTGTTACTCACACACTTCAGCGTTTCCATGACGGTAGGGGCTGCAGTGTGGCTGCTGTCATTCTACCAGAAGAGGTGGGAAACCACAGCCATGGCCCTGACATTCCAAATCCTCTGATGGGGGCTAAGTTTTTTATTTTCATTCAGGCAACTGCTGATATTCCATTCTCAAAGGACATGCCCTCCACTTCATGTCTACCCTGTGTTGTTTTATGTCAGTAATCTTACAGTATTAAAATCTAGTAGGAGTCTCTTACTCAGCACTTGCTCAAAGTTCTCAGCTGACACTTTTGTTGTACGGAGACACCTTGTCTTTGTGGGATGGGTCCTTCCTTTAGCCCTAGGCACCAAGGTGTGATAGCAGCCATAGAAATGTGGAAAGTGGGGAGAATCTTCTGAGCACAGGGAGGGAGGCACAGCTCCACATCCTCCTCTCTAAGGCGGCGCCTCCTTCACCCCAAGGTGGTCAGGACAAGCCCTTGCTTTCTACCTGGCCCAGCCTTGTGGTGCCTCCAGAACATGTGACTCTTCAGTGTCACTCTAATCTTGGGTTTAACAACTTCAGTCTGTACAAGGATGATGGGGTGCCTGTCCCTGAGCTGTACAACAGAATATTCTGGAAAAGCCTTTTCATGGGCCCTGTGACCCCGTCACATGCAGGGACCTATAGATGCCGGGGTTCACACACACACTCCCCCAGTGGGTGGTCGGCACCCAGCAACCCCCTGGTGATCATGGTCACAGGTCAGAGGGCTCCTGTCTGGGATTCTCCTTGTCCCACCTCCTGAATCCCAGAGCTTCTGGTAGGCATGTCCTTGAGGGTCCCATCATGCAGGCCCTAACTGTATTTGGGGTAAAGGGGGATTGAATACAGGGAAATGGGTGCTGTGGTGGGAAGAATAAGTGTCCCCAGTGATGACTGCATTCTAATCCCTGGAGTCTGTGACTATTTATGTTATAGGGGAAGGGACTGAAGGGGAAGATGGAGCTCAGGTTGTTGATGAGTTGACCTTGAGATGGGGAGACAGCCTGGACTGTCCCGGTGGGCTCAATATAATCACAAGTGTCCACATGAAAGGAGGAGGAAGAGGAGAGTGGGGATTAGAGCAGCGTAGTGGGAGACTCCATTAGCTTTGAAGGTGGATGAAGGCCATAAGCCATGAATGCAGGTGGCCTATAGAGGCTGGGAAAGTCAAGTAACTGATTCTCCTGAGTCTCCAGAGGGAACACAGCCCTGCAGATGCCTTGATTTTAGCCCTCGAAAAACAGGGTCCGCTTTCTGTCTCCAGAATCGGAGGGGGTCAGTGTGCTCTCTCCTGCTGCCATGCTTCTGATAATTTTCTACAGCAGCAACAGGAAACCAACACTGGAACCCAGGTCAAGGACAAGTTAAGAAAAGACACAAGGATAGCCAGGCATGGTGGCAGGTGCATGTAATCCTAGCGACTCGGGAGGCTGAGAGCAGGAGAATCGCTTGAACCCAGGAGACAGAGGTTGCAGTGAGCGTAGACCACACCACTTCACTCCAGCCTGGGTGAAGGAGTGAGACTCTGTCTCCAAAATTAATTAATTAATTAAAGAAACCAAACAAAGAGAAGGTTGGCTACACCGAGATCAGCAAGGGTGGGATGATGATGCCACCACCAGGCTCCATCCACATAGGGAGGGGTTGATACTCCTCAAATCAGCACGAGGAGCCAGCCTATGGAAACTGGCACCATGGAGAAGGCACAGACATGGCAAGAGTGGCTCCCAGTCCCCACCAGGAACAGGGTGTGTGGACACTGGTGCCTGCCTTACTGATCAGTTCATACCTCCTGCCAAGGATTCCAATTCGTCCAAAAGAGATTGAACCAGGCTGCTAAGAGCCGGGACGTGCAGCCTATCCTGCTTCCTCTTCCACTCCCACATAGACAGTAAGAAAGACATTAGTGTGAAATAGATACAACAGCCCAAGAGATGAGGCTGAGCCCAGTGGGAAGGGAATCACAGCTACTAGAGACAGAGGGACAGAGAAGAGGGAGGGAGACAGATGGAAGGACCTGCACCAGGAGTTATGGGCACAGAAAAGAACATGAAGACACAGAGAGGAAGCAGAGAGACAGACACCAGCGAAGGGAAGTCTCACTCATTCCAGGTGCCATGGATGGGATGATAAAGAGAGACACCTTCTAAACTCACAACCTCTCTTCCTAGGAGTCCACAGAAAACCTTCCTTCCTGGCCCTCCCAGGTCACCTGGTGAAATCAGAAGAGACAGTCATCCTGCAATGTTGGTCGGATGTCATGTTTGAGCACTTCCTTCTGCACAGAGAGGGGAAGTTTAACAACACTTTGCACCTCATTGGAGAGCACCATGATGGGGTTTCCAAGGCCAACTTCTCCATTGGTCCCATGATGCCTGTCCTTGCAGGAACCTACAGATGCTACGGTTCTGTTCCTCACTCCCCCTATCAGTTGTCAGCTCCCAGTGACCCTCTGGACATGGTGATCATAGGTGAGAGTGTCCAGACATTCTTCTCATTGTCATTGGGATGCAGAGTGAATGATCCAGGACTTGGAGACCCAGGTGGTTGTAAGGAAGATGAGCTTGGTATTCTTATGGAGAGAGACTGACTTGGTGAGGTCTGTGCCAACAGAGACAGAGAAACAAGAGACACAAGTACAGACCAGGTGTCATAACAGAGGACAAACACAGGGGCCATACCGGGAGTTAGAAAAGACAGAAAGAGTTAAAGGAGACAGACAGACATGTCCCAGACAGAGGTGTCCTTCCATGCTGACTTTGCTCAGAGACCTGGCACAGGTTAGAAGTTTCATTTCTGTTTTACCTCCACAAAGTGTTCTCTACCAGGAGAACCCAAGGACACCCATATTTCTGACCTGAGTTGGGCCCTGTGGCCTCAGGCCTTGTGGCACCTACAGATGCCATGCTTATTCTGACACCTCTGACTTCCATGCAATGGAGAATAATCGTCCCAAAATATCATGGCCCCAGAACACCAACCCCTGTATGCTGTGTGAACTTGTGGTCTCCAGACTGGATTCTGAGGCTCACATTCCAAATAACCCCACATATCACATATGAGAGGATCACTGAGAAGCACAGAGAGAAATCAGGGACACCAAAAAGCAAAGACATAAACACACAGAGAAAGAGCCAGAGGAAGGAGATTGAGAGACTCACAGACACATAAAGAGAGAGAAGAGGGCAGAGAAGTGGAGAGAATGATGGAAGAGAGCAGAGAAAACCACTAAAATTAGAGTCCTGAGGGCGAGGCACAAGGGCATAGAAAGATGGAGATGTGGGGATGAATTGCAGAGATTCCAAAGAGAACTAGAGAGACCGAGAGGCAGAGCAAGACAGATGATAGATGGATAGATACAGATAGATGATGGATAGATATAGATAGATGATATATAGGTAGATGATAGATAATAGGTTATAGATACATAGATGATGATTGATTGATTCATTAATAGATGATACATAGAGATGATGATGATGAAGATAGATGGATAGATAATACATAGAGATAGAGAGGAAGACAAAGAGAGAAATAATAGAGAGAGAGAGATGATACATATATATAGATAATAGATGATTGACGGATAGACAATTGATAGATAAATAGATGATATATAGATATAGATGACAGGTAGAGAATTTGTAGATAGGCACCGAATAGATAAATAGATGGATTGATAGATAATAGATAGAAATATGCAGAAAGTTATGAACGGGACACAAACTGAGAAACTCAGAGTTAAAAAAAGTAACATCAAGTCAACCAATCCAAGGAGAGCCAGAGAGAATAAAACAATCCAAAAAAGGAAAACATAACTAGAGGTAGGGAAGTGAGGTCAGAGACCTACAGAGACAGAGAAGGTGGAAGGAGGAAATAGACATGAAGAGAGATAGGGTGGAGGGTGAGACAGAGAAAGAGAGCATTAGGCCATAGAGCAGGGGAGTGAGTTCTCAGGTCAGGTGTGAGGGGAGCTGTGACAAGGAAGATCCCCCCTGAGGAAACTGCCCCTTCTCCTTCCAGGTCTATATGAGAAACCTTCTCTCTCAGCCCAGCCGGGCCCCACGGTTCAGGCAGGAGAGAATGTGACCTTGTCCTGCAGCTCCCGGAGCTCCTATGACATGTACCATCTATCCAGGGAAGGGGAGGCCCATGAACGTAGGCTCCCTGCAGTGCGCAGCATCAACGGAACATTCCAGGCCGACTTTCCTCTGGGCCCTGCCACCCACGGAGGGACCTACAGATGCTTCGGCTCTTTCCGTGACGCTCCCTACGAGTGGTCAAACTCGAGTGATCCACTGCTTGTTTCCGTCACAGGTGAGGAAACCCCATATCTGTCCCATGTCCTATGATCCTAGAGCCTTAGCTGAGGAGCTTCCTGCTGATGATGGAGAGAAGCATGGACAGATGCAGAGAGAAGACGCAGCATGCCTGTGAGGGAGGGATCAGGGCGCAGGATGGCACACACAGCACCTCCAAACCCTCCTGCATGGCCTGCATGGAGGCCTCCGATTAGGGCTCCAGAAACCCAGGCAGATGTAGAAAGCGGTCAGGAGAGACCCAGAGAAGGGGAGACTGGGCTCAGTTTGGGGAGATCAGAGGTTCCCTCAGCCCCTCAACCTTACCCATTTCCCAGAAGCCCTTCCTGGCCTCTCACCCACACAGAGATGTCATCACCAGCAACCCCTACATCCTTTTCTTTTTGTTTGAAAAAATATTCATTGAGGTTAAATATACCTATATAGCTTACCACTTTTAACATTTTTTTTTTTTTGAGGTGGAGTCTAGCTCTGTCTCCTATGCTGGAATGCAGTGGCACAATCTCAGCTCACTGTAACCTCCGCCTCCTGGGTTCAAGCGATTCTCCTGCCTCAGCCACCTGAGTAGCTGGTACTACAGGCGCCCATCACCACGCCGGGCTACTTTTTGTATATTTAGTAGAGAGGGGGTTTCACCATGTTGGTCGAGCTGCTCTGGAACTCCTGACCACGTGATCCACCCGCCTCAGGCTCCCAAAGTGCTGGGATTACAGGCATGAGCCACCGCGCCCGGCCACGTTTACCAATTTTAAGTGTAAGGTCTAGTGGTCATAAATACATACATATAAATTTTTTGTTTGTTTGTTTTATCCTCCACCCTTTTCTTCCTGGCCTCTGGTAGCCACCATTCTACTCTCTATCTTCATGAGATCCACCTTTTAGCTCCTGTATATGGGTGAGAAATGAGAATATTTGTAATGACTTCCAGTTCCATCCATGTGGCTGCAAATATCAGGATGTTATTCTTTCTATGGATGAGTAGTCTCCGCTGTGCGTATGTACTACATTCTCTCTATCCATTCATCCACTGATGGGCAGGTAGGTTGACTCCACATCTTGGCTACTGTGAAGAGTGCTGCACCAATCATACGAGTGCAGATATCACTTCGATACATTGATTTACTTTCCTTTGGATATAAACCCAGTAGTGAAATTGCTGGATACTATGAAAGTTCTCTTTTTAGTTTTTCGTTTGTTGTTTTGTTTTTGTTTTTGAGACAGTTTCCCTCTGTGCCCAGGCTGGAGTACAAGTGATGTGATCTTGGCTCATTGCAACCTCCGCCTCCTGGGTTCAAATGATTTTCCTGCCTCAGCCTCCCTAGTAGCTGGGATTACAGGTGCACGCCACCATGCCGGGATACTTTTTGGTTTTTTTTAGTGTACATGGGGTTTCCCCAGGTTGGCTAGGCTGCTCTCAAACTCATGACCTCAACTGAGGTGCCCGCCTCGGTCTCCCAAAGTGCCGGGATTACAGGCATGATCCACTTCATCCAACCTCTTTTTAGTTCTTTAAAGGACTTCCATACTTTTCTCCGTAATGGCTGTACTAATTTACACTCCTACCAACAGGGTACCAGGGTTCTCCTTTCTCTACCACCTTGCCAGCATTTGTTTTGCCTGTCTTGCAGCTAAAAGCCATTTTATTTTATTTCATTTTATTTTGAGATGGAGTTTCGCTCTTGTCACCCAGGCTGGAGTGCAGTGGTGCGATCTCGGCTCACCGCAACCTCCACCTCCCAGGTTCAAGCGATTCTCCTGCCTCAGCCTCCCGAGTAGCTGGAATTACAGGCACACACCACCACGCCCGACTAATTTTTGTATTTTTAGTAGAGACAGCGTTTCTCCATGTGGGTCAGACTGGTCTCAAACTCCCGACCTTATGAGATTCGCCCACCTCGGGCTCTCAGAGTTCTAGGATGACAGACGTGAGCCACCTCGCCCGGCCTAAAAGCCATTTTAATGGGGTGAGATGAAAACTCACTTTGATTTTAATTCGCGTTTCTCTGATGATGAGTGATACTGAGCACTTTTTCGTATGTGGGGAAATTTCATGTCTTTTGCTCCTTTTTCAATTAAATCATTTGTTTTATTGAGTTGTTTGAGCTTCTTATACTTCTAGTTATTAATCCCGTCTCAGATGCATAGTTTGCACATATTTGCTCCCAATCTGTGGGTTGTCTCTTCACTTTGTTGGTTTATTTTTAGCGGTGCAGAAGTTGCTTAGTTTGAGGTAATCCCAATGGTCTATTTTTGCTTCGATTACTTGTGTTTTGAAGGTTTAAAACAAAATGTCTTCCTTCAGACAAATGTACTGGAGCATTTCCCCAATATTTTCTTCTACGTGTTTCACAGGTTCAGGCCTTAGACTCACATCTTTAATCCACTTTCATTTGATTTTTGTGTATGGTGACAGGTAGAGGTGCAGTTTCATTCCTCTGCATGTAGATGTCCAGGTTTCCCTGCACTGTTTATTGAAAAAACTGTCCTTTCCTGATTGTGAGTTCTTGGCACCTTTGTCAAAGTCCATTGGATGGGCTGGGCATGGTGGCTAACACCAGCAACTTCAGCACTTTGGGAGGCCAAGGCTGGTGGATCACCTGAGGACAGGAGTACAAGATTACTCTGGCCGACGTGATGAAACATCGTCTCCACTAAAAATATAAAAATTAGCTGAGCATGGTGGTCAGCACCTGTAATACTACTACTCAGGAGTTTGAGGCAAGAGAATTGAATGAACCCAGGAGGCTGAGGTTGCAGTGAACCGAGATTGCACCTCTGCACTCCAGCCTGGGTGACAGAGCGAGACTCCATCTCAAAAGAAAAAATAAAAAAAATTGGATGTAAATGCATGGATTATATCTGTGTTCTTCATTCTGCTCCGTTGTTCTATGTGCCTTTCTTCATGCCAACATCATGCTGTTTTGCTTACTACAGCTCTGTAACATATTTTGAGATCAGGTAGTGTGATGCTCCTGTTTTCTCTTTATACCTTGAAGTCTCAAGACAGTGGGCGTCACATACAAAAATTATGGAAGAAAGGATCCCTGGACTCCCAGGGCCCAATGTTAGATAACAGAGTGTTGGCCATGAACCAAACTCAAAGATTTCCACTGAGTAGAGGACAGACACCCTCATTTCCTCACCTCTCTCCTGTCTCATGTTCTAGGAAACCCTTCAAATAGTTGGCCTTCACCCACTGAACCAAGCTCCAAAACCGGTGAGTACAGGACCCTCTTATATCCGCTTTTGGAACCCTGGGGAGGTGGAAACCTTGGATTCAGGCGTTGACTCAGCATCTCACAGCTCTGACATTGTACGCCTGTCTTCTACCATCTCCGAACTCCAGATACTCCAACAGCGAAAGGGATCTGGGCCCAACACAGGGCTCAGTGAAATCTCTTCATCTCTCATTTTATGGAGCTGAGACCTCCTACAAGCTAGAAGAATGATTGCCAATCTGACATCCTTCTCAGGAAAAACGCAATGTTTGTTCTGCTTGCATTCCTAACTGGAGGATAAATTCCTGGGGGCTTGAGAGAGGGAAGGGAAGCGAACATCTGATGAGGGCGAGGTGTTTTAGAGAAGTTCCACTTGCCAAGGAATGAGCTCCTGTTGGTCATGAAACAACCCTGGCTGACTCAGCAGAGCAAGAGCCTTGCCGTAACAGAGAACAGAGCTCATGCACGCACACTTTGACTCACTGACTTATTCAGCCACGGCCCCATGCTCAGGTTGTGCAGTGTGGAAGCTTTTCCTATTGTTGCCATAACAAATTTCCACAAGATTCGTGGGTGAAAACAAAACGGTTATTTAATTATCTTACAGTGCTCTAGCTCAAAGCATGAAGTGCATCTCACTGGGCTAAAATCAAGATGACAGCAAGCCTGCCTTCCCTCTGAGGATTCCAGGCAAGAATCTGCTTCTCACTTGTCCCATCTTATAAAGGCTCCCAGTTCCTTGGCTGCTGGTCCCTTTCCTCCTTCCTCAAAACCCACAAAGACTGGTCACATCTCACATGGCATCACTCAGACCCTTCTTCCTTACCACACCTCTTTCTCTGAATGCTGCTCTCCCTTCTTCCTCATCTTTTGAAAACTTGGGGATTCTATTGGGTTCACCAAGATGAAAATCCGTCATAATCTCCCGGAAATCATTCAGGATACCCTTGTTTTAAGTTCAGCTGATTAGCAACCATAATTCCATCTGCAATCTTCATTCCTCCTTTCCATGTAAAATAACATATTCACAAGCTATGGAGGCTAGGACAGGGACATTTTGGGGTGGGACAGCATTCTCCTGCCTTCCACAAATGGTGAACAAGATGCATTTGGCCTCTGCTCTTGGGACACTGATATTGCAGATGGTTAAATGGGAGGACAGAAAATGAATGCACAAGTGGACCAATAAATGAATGATCCATTGGGAAGCATCTGTGCATGAAATCTATTTGTTTGTTTGTTCGTTTGTTTATTGAGACAGAGTCTCCCTCTGTCTTCCAGGCTACAGTGCAGTGTCACGATCTTGGCTCACTGCAACCTGCGTCTCCTGGATCCAAGTGATTCTCCTGCCTCACCCTCTCGAGTAGCTGGGATTACAGGCAACTGCCACCATGCCCGGCTAATTCTTTTTGTATATTTTTTGTAGAGAGGATGTTTCACCATGTTGGCCAAGCTTGTCTGAAACTCCCAACCTCAAGTGATCCGACCATCTCAGCAACCCAAAGTACTGGGATTACAGGCGTGAGCCACTTTGCCCAGCCAGAATTCAAAATAAATAATAGATAATGCTGAGTGTATAATTTTGGGTGACAGAGAAGGTCTCACTAATCAGATATTTGTGACATTAATGAAAAACACGGATTGAACCCCTGAAAGATTGGCGGAAGGATTTTCCACACACAGCTGTCAGCTGTGAAGGCACAAAGGTGAAAACAATCTGATGTTGAAGGAAGAGGCTCTGCCTGAAATGCTGGGAATGAGGTGGGGAGAATGACAAGATGACTGTAGAGAGATGGAGAGCACTCTGGGTACACAGGAAACTAAGGAGGAACAAGGAGTGTGTGTTTGACACTCACAGCCATTGGATTCACCTCGGGGTAACCAGGAATCCCTACATGATTAATAGTGACTGACAAGAAAATAAGGGAGGCCCAGGTGCGTAACTGGAATCTAGGAGACTGTGGAAAAGGCAATTGCCGCCCCACTGGTGAAATGTGGTGCTGATTTAGACACTAAATGAATGAAGTAGATGGATATAAGATATGCTTGTGAGGTAGAATCATTGGCTGGAAAGGCTTGCTGGGTTTGATTTTCCTACTTGTTTAATCCTCGCTTAATTAATTTCTTTCTGAGATTTATTCATCCTACACATAAATCAATACCTGGCAAAGGAGTGACAGATATATGAGGGGTGGTGGAAATGAAGGGACCTATTATAGCATAATATACAAGTCTGTGAACGGTGGCTCATGCTTGTAACCCAGCCCTGCAGGAGGCCAAGGCGGGTGGATTCCATGAAGTCAGGAGTTCCAGACCAGCCTGGCCAACATGGTGAAACCCTATCTGTACTAAAAATACAAAAATTAGCCGAGCATGGTGGTGCATCCCTGTAATCCCAGCTCCTACTCTGGAGGATGAAGCAGGAGAATGACTTCAACCCAGGAGGTGGAGGTTGCAGTGAGTGGAGATTGCATCACTGCACTCCAGCCTGGGTGACACAAGGAGACTCCGTCTCAAAAAATAAAAATAAGAAATGCATAAATATAATAAAACACACACGAATGACAAAGGCACCTGAATTCCAATCATCATTTTTCTATTTCTCTATAATTACTTCTTTGATCCTTTATCTTATCCATTAGGCAATCAGCCTAAAACCTCTTCCCTATTTGGCTTTCTGTGAGCATGAGATCACATAGAAAATGTGAAAGCCCGCTGAATCCTCCAGCACGGATCCTGGAATAGAGAAAGTGCTCTGGTCATCGCAAAAAAAAACTTGCCCACTCACCCAAATCGCCCACCTCACCCCTACTTCCAATCACCTGTGGAGATTCAGATAGACCATGGGGAGGAAACATTAATATTCCTTGGAGTGAGTCCAGATCTTGGAATCAGAGATCAGCGACAGCACTAGCTCCTGTTCCCCTTTCCTACTAATTCACAGGAGGACAGGTGGTATTGAAGCAATAGATGGTGGAGGGGGTGGTCCTTCCCCCAGCCTCTCGGGTAGAACAGCAGCCTAACATGTGTCTCCCGAGATCACAAAGAGCAGCACATTTCACACGGGCTTCAACACTATTTTCTGGCTGTTTGACATAAGAGAATCTTGCTTCGCTATTTTTAATCGTGATTTCACCTTTGTTTCCTTTCCTTGGTGAATGCAATTTGTTTGACTCAAGAATGCTGTGGATGTAGAAATCCTAAAGCACATTCGCTGTGTATCAATCCCAGTGCAGTCTTCCCAGAGAAGACTCTAAACAAATCCTGGACTGCACCTGGGCCTATGCCAATTCCTATCACTCACCGTCACTCCAGGGAGACAGAACACACAGAGGATACGTTACATAGGCAGGTTCATTACTAACAGATAAGCAGCGAGTGACAACAGAAGCCTGCATTTCAATGTGAGCCAGTCCCTCAAGGCTCAGAAAAGCTGCTCGGGACATATGGAGTCACCCCATTTGCAGTGTAACTGGGGGAAGCCAGAAAGCAGCCCAGCCTGGGTTTTGTACCCTGGAGCCACAGGAAGCACTCAGCTAAAGCACTGCATGACGTCCTCCTCCAGGAAGAACAGGAAGACAGCCCAGGCTGTTCTGAGACATTCCTCCTGATCTCAGGATGTTGCTATCTTAGTCCATTTTTGTTGCTCTAAAGGAACACTTGAGCCTGGGTAACTTCTAAAGAAAAGAGATTGGTTTGCCTCACAGTTCTGCAGGCTGTACTGGAAGCATGGCACCAGAATCTATTTCTCTTGACGGCCTCAGGCTGCTCCCACTCTGGCAGAAGGGAAGGAGGGTCTGTCTGTGCAGAGACCGCAGAGATCACACGGCAAGAGAGAGAGTAAGGGGGAGAGGGAGCGATGGAGCTTCCAAGCTCTTTTTAACAACCAGCTCTCCAGGAACTAACAGAGGGGGAACTTGCTAACCCCGTCTCCTTGGGACAGCATTGATCTGTTCATGATGGATCCACCTCCATGACCCAAACACCTCTGAAGAGGCCCAACCTCCCACAATGGGGGTGAAATTTCAATGTGAGGTTTGAAAGGGTCAAACATCTCAACTAAAGTAGTTGTATCCTCAGCACGTTCTATGGTTACTATGAGAGCTATAATTGAGAAAGCAGGGGAAAGCTAGGTCTCCCGCCATTTGGGTGCTTGTCCTAAAGAGACGTTGTATGTGGTTACCTGCCAATCAAGAAATGCGAGACAATTCATAAAGAGGAACTGCTATGATTAGCTTCTTATTGGTGTCTCCTCTTCTTCCAGGTAACCCCAGACACCTACATGTTCTGATTGGGACCTCAGTGGTCAAAATCCCTTTCACCATCCTCCTCTTCTTTCTCCTTCATCGCTGGTGCTCCGACAAAAAAAGTAAGTCTCACGAAGCAGAGGCCAGAGAGCTCAGGGCCATGTGGGGAAGCAGGATGGGAGCACGCGGATGTGTGTTCCTCACCAGCAGGATGGTCCCTGGCCCAAGACAGGAGCCACAGAGGCAGGACTTTCTAGAGAGAGCACCAGATTCCCTTCCCCTGCCTTCAGCTCACAGACCATTGCCTGATTCTGAACTGTATCCTCACGTCCCCTGCAGCCACTCACATCCAGGAGAAGGTTCCATGACAGGCAGAAAGTGGGAGATAGAATCAATGGGATGGGAACTCAGAGCTATTCATGGGATGGGTCCTTGAACTCAGAGAGATAGAATGTCTGAGTCTGCTGTTGGCAACTGAGGGACCTCAGGCACCTATGGCCTCCCCCTGTTTGTTGGTATCTGCTTATGAAATGAGGACCCAGAAGTGCCCTCCGAGCTCTTTTGTTGACTTCCGTCTTCTACAGATGCTGCTGTAATGGACCAAGAGCCTGCAGGGAACAGAACAGTGAACAGCGAGGTAGGTGCTCCTCGGCCCAGCCTCGTGGCTAGTCTTATTCCCAAAGAGTCCTGAAAAATGTGAGCACCCTCCCTCACTCAGCATTTCCCTCTCTCCAGGATTCTGATGAACAAGACCATCAGGAGGTGTCATACGCATAATTGGATCACTGTGTTTTCACACAGAGAAAAATCACTCGCCCTTCTGAGAGGCCCAAGACACCCCCAACAGATACCAGCATGTACATAGAACTTCCAAATGCTGAGCCCAGATCCAAAGTTGTCTTCTGTCCACGAGCACCACAGTCAGGCCTTGAGGGGATCTTCTAGGGAGACAACAGCCCTGTCTCAAAACCGGGTTGCCAGCTCCCATGTACCAGCAGCTGGAATCTGAAGGCATCAGTCTTCATCTTAGGGCATCGCTCTTCCTCACACCACGAATCTGAACATGCCTCTCTCTTGCTTACAAATGTCTAAGGTCCCCACTGCCTGCTGGAGAGAAAACACACTCCTTTGCTTAGCCCACAATTCTCCATTTCACTTGACCCCTGCCCACCTCTCCAACCTAACTGGCTTACTTCCTAGTCTACCTGAGGCTGCAATCACACTGAGGAACTCACAATTCCAAACATACAAGAGGCTGCCTCTTAACACAGCACTTAGACACGTGCTGTTCCACCTCCCTTCAGACTATCTTTCAGCCTTCTGCCAGCAGTAAAACTTATAAATTTTTTAAATAATTTCAATGTAGTTTTCCCGCCTTCAAATAAACATGTCTGCCCTCATGGTTTCGGTAACGAGACTCTTTTCTTGCCTAAGGCTTCCGGTGTTATCATTACCATGTCCACATAACCCCATCTGTTCTCCATTGGGTTCTCAGCCCTGGACTCTGAGCTTCTGGAAGCAGAATGTAGCCTGATTTGTCTCTGAGACTCCAATTTCCATCCAAAGATACAGCACATAGGAGGCTCCAAGGATCGTGAATCACATGAACAAGTGATATTCTTACTCTCTGCAGACCTGGAAAGCTGGCAGAGTCATTCCACGATGAAACATTTGTAGAGACATAGGCCTTGTTAGTCTCATCTCCACGGGGACACATATCAACATATCATCTTTCATAATATAAATATACAGTCGGTCCTCCATATCTGTGGGGTTTACAGGTGTTTATTGAACCAACAATAAATCAAAAATATTTTCAGAAAAAAATCCCCGAAGTTTCAAGAAGCAAAAAACTATGTTGAATCGACACAAATTGAGTGGCGTGTAGGCTGTGTCAGGAATTATAAGTAATCAAGAGATGATTTCATGTATACAGGAGGATGTGCATGGGTTCTATGCAATTGCTATGCTATTTTTTTTTTTTTTGAGACAGTCTCACTCTCTCACCCAGGCTGGAGTGCAGTGGCATGATCTCAGCTCACTGCAACCTCTGCCTCCCAGGTTCAAGCGATTGTCTTCCCTCAGCCTCCCCAGTAGCCTCCCCTAGGATTACAGGCACGTGCCACCATGCACAGATAAATTTTTTTGTGTGTGTATTTTTAGTAGAGACGGGGTTTCAGAATGTTGGACCAGCTGGTCTTGAACTCCTGACCTCGTGATCTACCCAACTCAGCCTCCCAAAGTGCTGGGATTACAGGCGTGAGCCACGGTGCCCAGCTTCGCTATGCCATTTCATGCAAGGGGCTTGAGCATCTGCAGATTTTGGTATCTGAATGGGGATCCTGGAACCAATCACCCAGGAATAGTGAAGGACCACAGTATATAATTTTTATTTGTCAATCTTAAAAATAAAGCATAAAAAGTTTACAACAACAAGATAAAAAATAAGAAGTGTTTTTATAGTGTGAGGATAAGTTTAGATTTATTTTTTCCTACGTGTAACCCTATGGTCCTGTGTTATTTATTGAGAAAATATTCTATTCCACCTTAAACTACATGGCAGCCTTTGTCAACTATAAAGGGACTGTGTATCCACAGATGTATTTTAGACACAGTTTTCTGCCCAGTGGTTCTCTGTATCCCCTCTCATGAGGATGCTGCATTTCATATAAACTTATAGAACCCCTTAAAATTTGGTAACCTGAGTTCTCTGATTTGTTATTATAGGTTATTTAGTTTGCTTTTTTTTTTCTTTCTTGAGACAGACTCTTCCTCTGTCACCCAAGCTGGAGTTCAGTGGCTTGAGCTCAGCTCACTGCAGCCTCCGCCTCCCAGGTTCAAGCAATTCTCGTGCCTCAGGTTTAGTACTAGAAACTCATCAGGAAAATTAGAATGGCTTTTTGTCACAATTACTCTGATAATGTTAATAATACCTCTTAGATATTTTGCACATTACACATGAAGAAAAGTTTGAATCTCAGATAAAAACAAAAATACATCAAAAGTCTTTAATGTAAGCACAGAATTCAATCACCTCATGTGTGAGAGGTTGGATCTGAGACGTCTTTTGAGTCTGGTCATAGTGAAGGATGCAAGGTGGCAATTGTAGTCACAACAATTTCCAGGAAGCCATGTTCCGCTCTTGAGCGAGCACCCACTGGGCCTCATGCAAGGTAGAAAGAGCCTGCGTACGTCACCCTCCCATGATGTGGTCAACATGTAAACTGCATGGGCAGGGCGCCAAATAACATCCTGTGCGCTGCTGAGCTGAGCTGGGGCGCGGCCTCCTGTCTGCACCGGCAGCACCATGTCGCTCACTGTCGTCAGCATGGCGTGCGTTGGTGAGTCCTGGAAGGGAATAGAGGGAGGGAGAGTGGGGATGGAGATCTCGGCCTAGAGGTAAAGATATGGGCCTGGAGTGGAGATATGGGCCTGGAGTGGAGATATGGGCCTGGGTGTGGAGATATGGGCCTGGAGGTGTAAATATGGGCCTGGAGTGCAGATATGGGCCTGGAGGGGAGATATGGGCCTGGGTGTGGAGATATGGGCCTGGAGTGGAGATACGGGCCTGGAGTGGAGATATGGGCCTGGAGTGGAGATATGGGCCTGCAGGTGGAGATCTGGGCCTGGAGTGGAGATATGGGTCTGATGTGGAGATATGGGCCTGGAGTGGAGATATGGGCCTGGAGTGGAGATATGGGCCTAGAGGGGAGATCTGGGCCTGGAGTGGAGATATGGGTCTGATGTGGAGATATGGGCCTGGAGTGGAGATAGGGGCCTGGAGTGGAGATAGGGGCCTGGAGTGGAGATATGGGCCTGGAGTGGAGATCTGGGCCAGGAAGTGTTGATCTGGGCCTGGAGCCTGGGTCTCTCCACAGCTGAGAGCCCTGTTCTTGGCAGCAGGTAGCAGGGAGGCTAAGTTTACCTTCAGCCCAGCAAGGGCCTGGCTGCCAAGACACACAGTGCAGTGGGGGCAGCAGGGTGCCCTGGTTTGCCTGCAGTTGGATCGTCTATCATGATCTTTCTTTCCAGGGTTCTTCTTGCTGCAGGGGGCCTGGCCACTCATGGGTGAGTCCTTCCCCAAACCTTAGGGTGTCATCTCCCCACATAAGAGGATTTTTCTGAAACAGGAGGGAAGTCCTGTCGGGGAGTCTCTCATAAACTAGGAAGAGGGGACCCTTGGATACTCGGCCCACATTTCTGACCTCGCCCTCCCCGGCCTTTCTTTCCCTTTCCTGAGTCAAGCTCTGTGAAGACTGGGGTGAGACTGGGGTGCTCCAAGCTGGGGTGTGCAGGGAGGAAGTGGTGTCAGCAGCAGAGAAAGAGAGGGAAGCAGTGCTAGGAACAGCAGGTCCTCTGAGGACAAAGGTATAACTGACACCCTCCAGCGTTTCCGTGACGGTAGGGGCTGCAGTGTGGCTGCGGTCTTTCTACCAGAAGAGGGGGGAAACCACAGCCATGGCCCTGACATTCCAAATCCTCTGAGGGGGCTCAGTTCATGAATTGGCTGATATTCCATTCACATAGGACATGCCCTCCATGCCGTGTCTACTTTGTGTTGTTTTATGTGAGTAATTTTGCAGTATTAAAATCTAGTAAGAGTCACTTATTCAGCACTTGCTCAAAGTTCTCAGCTGACACTTGTTGTAGGGAGACGCCATGTCTATGTGGGGTGGGTCCTTCCTGTAGCCCTGGGCACCCAGGTGTGGTAGGAGCCTTAGAAAGCGGAAATGGGAGAATCTTCTGAGCACAGGGAGGGAGGGGTGGCTCCACATCCTCCTCTCTAAGGCAGTGCCTCCTTCTCCCCCAGGTGGTCAGGACAAACCCTTCCTGTCTGCCCGGCCCAGCACTGTGGTGCCTCGAGGAGGACACGTGGCTCTTCAGTGTCACTATCGTCGTGGGTTTAACAATTTCATGCTGTACAAAGAAGACAGAAGCCACGTTCCCATCTTCCACGGCAGAATATTCCAGGAGAGCTTCATCATGGGCCCTGTGACCCCAGCACATGCAGGGACCTACAGATGTCGGGGTTCACGCCCACACTCCCTCACTGGGTGGTCGGCACCCAGCAACCCCCTGGTGATCATGGTCACAGGTCAGAGGCTTTCTGTCTGGGCTTCTCACTGTCCCACCTCCTGAATCCCAGAGCTTCTGGTGGGGGTGTCCATCAGGGTCCCATCACCCAGGCCCCAACTGTATTTGGGGTCAAGGGAGATTGAATACAGGGGAAATGGGCGCTGTGGTGGGAAGAATAACTGTCGCCAATGATGGCTACATTGTAAACCCTGGAGCCTGTGACTATTTATGTTATAGGGCAGGGGACTGAAGGGGAAGGTGGAGCTCAGGTTGTTGATGAGTTGACCTTGAGATGGGGAGACAGCCTGGACTGTCCTGCTGGGCTCAGTGTAATCACAAGGGTCCGCGTGAGAGGTGGAGGAAGAGGGGAGTGGGGATTAGAGCAGTGTAGTGGGAGGGAGACGCTATCAGCCACTGTGGGCTTTGAAGGTGGAGGAAGGCCACTAGTCACAGAATGCAGGTGGCCTCTAAGGGCTGGAGAAGTCAAGAGAACTGATTTGCTGAGTCTCCAGAGGGAACGCAGCCCTGCAGATGCCTTGATTTCAGCACAGGGAGAACTGGATCCAATTTCTGTCCCCAGAAGTGGAAGGGGTCAGTGTGTTCTCTCCTGCTGCCATGTTTGTGATAATTTTCTGCAGCAGCAACAGGAAACCGACACAGGAACCCAGGTCAAGGACAAGCTAGGAAACCAAACAAGGATAGCCAGGTGTGGTGGTGGGCACGAGTAATCCAACGACTGGGGAGGCTGAGGCAAGATAATCACTTGAACCGGGGAGGCAGAGGTTGCAGTGAGCCAAGACAACACCACTGCACTCCAGCCTGGGTGAAAAAGTGACTGTCTCAAAAATAAATTAATTAATCAATTAATTAAAGAAACCAAACAAGGAGAAGGTTGGCTACCGTGGGATCAGCAAGGGTGGGATGCTGATGCCACCACCAGGCTCCATCCACATAGGAAGGGGTTGATGCTCCTGGAACCAGCACCAGGGACCACCCTATGGAAGCTGGGGCCATGGAGAAGGCACAGACATGGCAGGAGAGGCTCCCAATCCCCATCAGGAACAGGGTGTGTGGACACTGATGTCTGCCTTACTGATGAGTTGATACCTCTGCCAGAGACTCCAATTTGTTCAAAAGAGATTGATTCAGGCTGCTGAGAGCCTGGACATGCAGCCTGTCCTCTTCCACCCCCACATAGACAGCAGGAAAGAGACTAGTGGGAAAGAGATACAACAGCCCAAGAGATGAGGCTCTCTTCACAGTGGGAAGGGAGTCAGGGGCTACTGGAGACAGAGGGACAGAGAAGAGGGAGGAAGACAAATGGAGGGACCTGCACCAGGGGATATGGGCACAGAAAAGACACGGAGACACAGAGAGGGAGGAGAGAGACAGACCTCTGGGAGGGGAACCCTCACTCATTCCAGGTGCCATGGATGGGATGATAAAGAGAGATGCCTTCTAAACTCACAACTTCTCTTTCTAGGAAACCACAGAAAACCTTCCCTCCTGGCCCACCCAGGGCCCCTGCTGAAATCAGGAGAGACAGTCATCCTGCAATGTTGGTCAGATGTCATGTTTGAGCACTTCTTTCTGCACAGAGAGGGGATCTCTGAGGACCCCTCACGCCTCGTTGGACAGATCCATGATGGGGTCTCCAAGGCCAACTTCTCCATCGGTCCCTTGATGCCTGTCCTTGCAGGAACCTACAGATGTTATGGTTCTGTTCCTCACTCCCCCTATCAGTTGTCAGCTCCCAGTGACCCCCTGGACATCGTGATCACAGGTGAGAGTGTCCAGACATTCTTCTCATTGTCATTGGGACACAGAGTGAATGATCCAGGACTTGGAACCCCCAGGTGGTCATGAGGAAGATAAGCGTGGGATTCTTATGGAGAGAGACTGACTCGGTGAGGTCTGTACCAACAGAGACAGGGAAACAGGAGACATAAGTACAGACCAGGTGTCATAACAGAGGACAGACACAGGGGCCATACGGGGAAGTAGAAAAGAGAGAAAGAGGTAAAGGAGACACTCAGACAGACAGACATGTGCCAGAGAGAAGTGTCCTTCCATGCTGACTTTGCTCAGAGACCTGGCACAGGTTAGAAGTTTCATTTCTGTTTTGTCTCCACAAAGTGCTTCTACGAGGAGAACCCAAGGACACCCATATTTCTGACCTGAGTTGGGCCCTGTGGCCTCAGGCCTTGTGGCATCTACAGATGCCATGTTTATTCTGACACCTCTGCCTTCCATGCAGTGGAGCCATAATTATCCCAGGATATCATGGCCCCAGAACACCAACCCCTAAATACTGTGTGTACTTGGTGTCCCCAGACTAGATTCTGAGGCTCATATTCCAAATAATCCTACATATAATAGGATCACTGAGAGACACAGAGATAAATCAGGGACTTCAAAAAGCAAAGGCATAAACACACAGAGAATGAGCCAGAGGAAGGGGATTGAGAGACTCACAGACACACAAAAAGAAAGAAAAGAGGGCAGAGGAGTGGAGAGAATGCTGGAAGGGAGGAGAGAAAAGCCCCAAAATCAGAACCCTGAGGGAGGGGCACAAAGACAGAGAAAGATAAAGATGTGGGGATGGATTGCAGAGATTCCAAATAGAACTAGAGAGACTGAGAGGCAGAGAAAGACAAGGAGATGGAGAGAGACAGATGATAGATGGATAGATAGATATAGATAGATGATAAATAGGTAGATGATAGATAATGGATAGGTTATAGATACATAGATGATGATTGATAGATGATACATAGAGATGATGATGATGATGATGAAGATAGATAGAAGACACATATATAAATATATAGATACATAGATGATACATAGAGACTGACAGGCAGACAGAGAGGTAATAGAGAGAGAGAGAGATGATACATAGATACAGATAATACATAGATGATTGATGGATAGACAGATAGACAATTGATAGATAAATGATACATAGATATAGATGACAGATAATTTGTAGATAGACACAAAATAGATAGATAGATAATAGATAGAAATATGCAGAAAGTTATGAACAAGACAGAAAGTGAGAGACTCAGAATTATAGAAAAAGGAAGATCAAGTCAACCAATCCAAGGAGAGTCAGAGAGAATAAAACAATCCAAAAAGGGAAAGCATACCCAGGGGTGGGGAAGTGAGGTCAGAGACCTAGAGAGACAGAGAAGGCGGAAGGAGGAAATAGACATGAAGAGAGTTGGGGTGGAGGGTGAGAGAGAGAGAGAGCATTAGGTCATAGAGCAGGGGAGTGAGTTCTCAGCTCAGGTATGAGGGGAGCTGTGACAAGGAAGAACCTCCCTGAGGAAACTGCCTCTTCTCCTTCCAGGTCTATATGAGAAACCTTCTCTCTCAGCCCAGCCGGGCCCCACGGTTCAGGCAGGAGAGAACGTGACCTTGTCCTGTAGCTCCTGGAGCTCCTATGACATCTACCATCTGTCCAGGGAAGGGGAGGCCCATGAACGTAGGCTCCGTGCAGTGCCCAAGGTCAACAGAACATTCCAGGCAGACTTTCCTCTGGGCCCTGCCACCCACGGAGGGACCTACAGATGCTTCGGCTCTTTCCGTGCCCTGCCCTGCGTGTGGTCAAACTCAAGTGACCCACTGCTTGTTTCTGTCACAGGTGAGGAAAACCCGTGTCTGTCCCATGTCTTATGATCCTAGAGCCATAGCTGAGGAGCTTCCTGCCGATGATGGGGAGAAGCATGGACAGATGCAGAGAGAACACGAAGACTGGGTGTGAGGGGGGGGTCAGGGTGCAGGATGGCAGACAGGGCACCTCCAAACCCTCTTGCATGGCCTGCATGGAGGCCCATGGTCAGGGCTCCAGGCACCCAGGCAGATGGAGAAAGCGGTCAGGACAGACCCAGAGAAGGGGAGACTGGGCTCAGTTTGGGGAGATCAGAGGTTCCCTCAGCCCCTCAACCTTACCCATTTCCCAGAAGCCCATCCTGGCCTCTCACCCACACAGAGAGATGTCATCACCAGCAACCCCTACACTCTTTTCTTTTCATTTTCAAAAATATTTATTGAGGTTAAATGTAACTATATAATTTACCAACTTTACCATTTTTAAAAGTAAAATCTAGTGGTCATAAATACCTTTATATGCTGGGTGTGGTGGTTCACGGTTGTAATCTTGGCGCTTTGAGAGGCCAAGAAAGGTGGATCATTTAAGATCAGGGACTCGAGATCAGCCTGGCCAACATGCGGGAAATTCATCTTTACTAAACAGACAAGAAAAATTAGCCAAGCATGCCGGCATGCACCTGTAGTCCTAGCTACTTGGGAGGCTGAGGCAGGAGAAGCACTTAAAGCCAGGAGGCAGAGGTTGCACTGAGCCGAGATCATGCCACTGCACTGCAGCCTGGGAGACAGAGAGAGACTCTGTTTCTAAATAAATAAATACATCTATATTCTTTTTTTTGTTACCTTCCACCCTTCCCTTCCTGGCCTCTGGTATCCACCATTCTATTCTCTACCTTCATGAGATCCACCTTTTATCTCCTGCATGTGGTGAGAAATGGGAATCTTTGTAATGACCTCCAGTTCCATCCATGTGGCTGCAAATGACAGGATGTTATTGTTTCTATGGATGAGTAGTCTCCACCGTGTGTGTGTACTACAGTTCTCTATCCATTCACCCACTGATAGGCAGGTAGGTTGACTCCACATCTTGGCTACTGTGAACAGTGCTGGAACAGTCATATGAGTGCAGATATCACTTCGATACACTGATGTCCTTTCCTTTGGATATAAACCCAGTAGTGAAATTGCTGGACACTATGAAAGTTCTCTTTTTTTTTTTTTCTTTTTTGAGAAAGAGTTTCCCTCCTTAGTCCAAGCTGGAGTCAAAGTGGTGCGATCTTGGCTCATTGCAACCTCTGCTTCCTAGGTTCAAACGATTCTCCTGACTCAGCCTCCCTAATAGCTGTGATTACAGGTGCACGCCACCATGCCTGACTAATTCTTGTATTTTTTAGCACAGACGGGATATCCCAATTTTGGGCAGGCTGCTCTCAAACTCCTGACCTCAAGTGAGGTGCCTGCCTCGGTTTCCCAAAGTGCTGAAGTTACAGGCATAAGCCACTATGCCCAGCCTCCTTTTAGTTTTTTAAAGATTTTCCATACTTTTCTCCATAATAGTTGTACTAATTTACATTCCTACCAACAGGGTACCAGGGTTCTCCTTTCTCTACCATCTTGCCAGCATTTGTTTTGCCTGTCTTGCAGATAAAAGCCATTTTACTTTACTTTATTTATTTATTTATTTATGTTGAGATGGAGTTTCACTCATAGTCGCCCAGGCTGGAGTGCAAGGGTGTGATCTCGGCTCACTGCAACCTCTGCCTCCCGCGTTCAACTGATTCTCCTGCCTCAGCCTCCAAAGTAGCTGGGATTACAGGCATGTGCCACCACGCCTAGCTAATTTTTGTATGTTTAGTAGAGAGGGAGTTTCTCCATGTTGGTCAGGCTGGTCTCCCGACCTCAGGTGATCCGCCCACCTCCGCCTCCCAAAGTGCTGGAATTACAGGCGTGAGCCACCGGCCTAAAAGGCATTTTAATGGGATGAGATGAAAACTCATCGCGATTGTAATTTACATTTCTGTGATGATGAGTGATGCTGAGCACTTTTTCATATACGTGATCGCCATTTCTATGTTTTGTTTGTGGAGAAATGTCTCCTCATGTCTTTTGCTCGTTTTTTAATTAAATTGTTTTATTGAGTTGTTTGAGCTTCTTATATTTCCAGTTATTAATCCCATCTCAGATGAATAGTTTGCAAATATTTGCTCCTATTTTGTGGGTTGTCTCTTCACTTTGTTGGTTTATCTTTGGTGGTGCAGAAGTTGCTTGGTTTGATGTAATCCTAATGGTCTATTTTTTGCTTTGATTACTTGTGTTTTGAAGGTTTTAAACAAAATGTCTTTCATCAGACAAATGTCTTCCCCATTATTTTCTTCTACATGTTTCATAGGTTCAGGCCTTAGACTCATGTTTTTAATCCATTTTCATTTGATTTTTGTGTAAGGTGACAGGTATAGATGCAGTTTTATTCCTCTGCATGTAGATATCCAGTTTTCCCCACACCATTTATTGAAGACTGTCCTTTCCTGATTGTAAGTTCTCGGCACCTTTGTCAAAGTCCATTAAATGGGCTGGGTATGGTGGCTCACACCTGCAATTCCAGCACTTTGGGAGGCCGAGGCGGGTGGATCACCTAAAGCCAGGAGTTCAAGACCAGGCTGGCCAACAGAGTGAAACCTCGTCTCTACTAAAAATACAAAAATTAGCTGAGCATGGTGATCAGTGCCTGTAATACCACTACTCAGGAGTTTGAAGCAAGAGAATTTCTTGAATCCAGGAAGTGGAGGTTGCATTGAGCTGAGATTGCACCTCTACACTCCAGCCTGCATGACAGAGCAAGATTCTATCACACACACACAAAAGAAAGCCATTGGATGTAAATGCATGGATTATATCTGTGTTCTCCATTCTGTTCCATTTTTTATGTGCCTTTCTTTATGCCAATGTCATGCTGTTTTGCTTACTACAGCTCTGTAACATATTTCTAAGTCAGGTAGTGTGATGCTCCTGTTTTCTCTTTATACCTTCAAGTCTCAAGACAGTGGGCATCGCACACAAAAATTATGGAGAAAAGGATCCCAAGACTCCCAGGGTCCAACATTAGATAACAGAGTGTTGGCCATGAACCAACCTCAAAGATTTCCATTGAGTAGAGGACAAGCACCCTCATTTCCTCACATCTCTCCTGTCCCGTGTTCTAGGAAACCCTTCAAGTAGTTGGCCTTCACCCACAGAACCAAGCTCCAAATCTGGTGAGTAAAGGACCCCTCTTATCTCTGCTTTTGGAAACCTGGGGAGGTGGAAGCCTTGGATGCAAGTGTTGGCTCAAACCTCCCAGCTCTGTGAATGAGGGCCTGTCTTCCACCATCTCTGAACTCCAGACACTCCAACAGTGAAAGGGATCTAGGGCCACCAAAGGGCTCAGCGAAGTCTCTTTACCTTTAATTTCCTGCAGGTGAGACCTCCTACAAGCTAGAAGAATAATTGCCAATCTGACATCCTTCTCAGGAAAAATGCAGTGTTTTTTCTGCCTGCATTCCTAACTGGAGGATAAATTCCCGGGGGCTTGAGAGAGGGAAGGGAAGGGAACATCTGATGAGGGTGGGTGTTTTAGAGAAGTTCCACTTGCCAAGGAATGAATTACTGTTGGTCATCAGGCAACCCTGGCTGACTCAGCAGAGCAAGAGCCTTGCCGTAACAGAGAACAGAGCTCATGCACGCACACTTCGACTCAGTGACTCATTCAGCCACAGCCCCATGCTCAGGCTGTGCAGTGTGGAAGCTTTTCCTATTGTTGCCATAACAAATTTCCACAAGATTCGTGTGTGAAAACAAAACGGTTATTTAATTATCTTACAGTGCTGTAGCTCAAAGCATGACGTGCATGTCACTGGGCTAAAATCAAGGTGACAGCAAGGCTGCCTTCCCTCTGAGGGTTCCAGGCAAGAATCTGCTTCTCACTTTTCTCAGCTTCTAGAGGCTCCCATGTTCCTTGGCTCCTGGTACCCTTCCTCCTTCCTCAAAGCCCACAAAGACTGGTCACATCTCACATGGCATCACTCAGACCCTTCTTCCTTACCACACCTCTTTCTCTGAATGCTGCTCTCCCTTCTTGCCCTTCTTTTGAAAACTTGGGGATTCTATTGGGTTCACCAAGATGAAAATCCATCATAATCTCCCGGAAATCATCCAGGATACCCTCCTTTTAAGTTCAGCTGACTAGCAACCATAATTCCATCTGCAATCTTCATTCCTCCTTTCATGTAAAATAACATATTCACAAGCTATGGAGGCTAGGACATGGACATTTTTGGGGTGGGACAACATTCTCCTGCCTTCCACAAACAGTGAACAAGATGCATTTGGCCTCTGTTCTTGGGACACTGATCTTGCAGATGGTTAAATGGGAGGGCAGAAAATGTAGGCACAAGGGGACCAATAAATGAATGATCTATTGAGAAGCATCTGTGCATGAAATCTATTTATTTATGTATTTACCTACTTGTTTATTGAGACGGAGCCTTGCTCTGTCGTCCAGGCTAGAGTGCGGTGGCATGATCTCGGCTCACTGCAACCTCCACCTCCTGGGCTGAACTGATCTCCTCCCTCAGCCTCTCCAGTAGCTGGGATTACAGACCACAACCACCACGCCCGGCTAACTCTTTTTG
Organism: Homo sapiens; assembly: GCF_000001405.40. Taxonomy (NCBI): domain Eukaryota; kingdom Metazoa; phylum Chordata; class Mammalia; order Primates; family Hominidae; genus Homo; species Homo sapiens. The sequence continues at coordinate 139,493 of NT_187671.1, forward strand.
CATATTTTCTGTAGAGAGGATGTTTCACCATGTTGGCCAGGCTGGTCTCAAATTCCCAACCTCAGGTGATCCAATAGCCTCTGCCTCCCAACACGCTGGGATAAGAGGCATGAGCCACGGGGCCAAGCCAAATTTTCAAATCAATAATAGATAATGCTGAGTGTATTATTTCAGGTGACAGAGAAGTTCTCACTAATCAGATATTTGTGACATTAATGAAAAACACGGATTGAACCCCTGAAAGATTGGCGGAAGGATTTTGCACACACAGCTGTCAGCCGTGAAGGCACAAAGGTGAAAACAATCTGATGTGGAAGGAAGAGGCTCTGACTCAAATGCTGGGAATGAGGTGGGGAGAATGACAAGATGACTGTAGAGAGACGGAGAGCACACTGGGTACACAGGAAACTAAGGAGCAACAAGGAGCGTGTGTTTGACACTCACAGCCATTGGATTCACCTCGAGGTAACCAGGAATCCCTACATGATTAATATGACTGACATGAAAATAAGGGAGGCTCAGTTGCATAACTGGAATCTAGGAGACCGTGGAAAAGGCAATTGCCGCCCCACTGGTGAAATGTGGTGCTGATTTAGACACTAAATGAATGAAGTAGATGGATATAAGATATGTTTGTGAGGTAGAATCATTGGCTGGAAAGGCTTGCTGGGTTTAATTTTTCCTGGTAGTTTAATCCTCGCTTCACTAACTTATTTCTGAGATTTATTTCTCCTGCATCTAAATCAATACCTGGCAGAGGAGGGAGAGCTAGATGAGGGGTGGTGCAAATGAAGGGACCTAGTATAGCATAATATACAAGGCTGTGAACGGTGGCTCACGCCTGTAACCCAGCACTTCAGGAGGCCAACGCGGGTGGATCACATGAAGTCAGGAGTTCGAGACCAGCCTGGCCAACATGGAGAAACCCTATCTCTACTAAAAATACAAAAATTAAACAGGCATGATGGTGGTGCATGACTGTAATCCCAGCTACTCTGGAGGAGGAAGCAGGAGAATGACTTCAGCCCTGGAGGCAGAGGTTGCAGTGAGTGGAGATCGCATCACTGCACACCAGCCTGGGCTACACAGGGATACTCTGTCTCAAAAAATAAAAATAAAAAATACATAAATATAATAATATACACAAATGATGCAGGCACCTGAATTCCAATCATCATTTTTCTATTCCTCTATAATTACTTCTTTGATCCTTTATCTTATCCATTAGAAAATCAGCCTAAAACCTCTTCCATATTTGGCTTTCTGTGAACATGAGATCATATGGAAAATATGAAAGCCCCCTGAACCCACCAGCACAGGCCCTGAAATAGGGAAAGTGCTCTGTTCATCACAAGAAACTTTCCCCCTCACCCAAATCCCCCACCTCACCCCTACTTCCAATCACCTGTGGAGATACAGATAGATCATGGGGAGGTAAACGCTAATACTCCTTGGAGTGAGTTCAGATCTTGGAATCAGAGATCAGCACCAGCACTAGCTCCTGCTCCCCTTTCCTACTAATTCACAGGAGGACAGGTGGTTTTGAAGCAATAGATGGTGGAGGGGGTGGTCTTTCCCCCAGCCTCTCAGGTGGAACAGCAGCCTAACATGTGTCTCGCGAGATCACAAAGAGTAGCACGTTTCACATGGGCTTCATCATTATTTCCTGGCTGTTTGACATAAGAGAATTCTACTTTGCTTTTTTGATCTTGATTTCACTTTTGTGTCCTTTTCTTGGAGAATGTAATTTGAGTCAAGAGGGTTGTGGATGTAGAAACTGTAAAGCACATTCACTGTGTATCAATCCCAGTCCAGTCTTTCCAGAGAAGACTCTAAACACCTGCTGTACTGCACCTGGGCCTATGCCAATTTCTATCACTCACCGTCACTCCAGGGAGACAGAACACACAGAGAATACGTTACATAGGCAGGTTCATTACTAACAGATAAGCAGCGAGTGACAACAGAAGCCTACATTTCAACGTGAGCCAGTCCCTCAAGGCTCAGAAAAGCTGCTCGGGACATATGGAGTCACCTCATTTGCAGTGTATCTGGGGGAAGCCAGAAAATAGCCCAGCCTGGGTTTTGTACCCTGAAGCCACAGGAAGCACTCAGCTAAAGCACTGCATGACGTCCTCCTCCAGGAAGAACAGGAAGACAGCACAGGCTGTTCTGAGACGTTCCTCCTGATCTCAGGACGTTGCTGTCTTAGTCCATTTTTGTTGCTATAAAAGAACACTTGAGCCTGGGTTACTTCTTTTTTTTTTTTTTTTTTTTTTGTATAGTGCTTCTGATGAGCTTTTTTTTAAAATTTTTATTATTATTATACTTTAAGTTTTAGGGTACATGTGCACAATGTGCAGGTTAGTTACATATGTATACATGTGCCATGCTGGTGTGCTGCACCCATCAACTCGTCATTTAGCATTAGGTATATCTCCTAATGCTATCCCTCCCCCCTCCCCCCACCCCACAACAGTCCCCAGAGTGTGATGTTCCCCTTCCTGTGTCCATGTGTTCTCATTGTTCAATTCCCACCTATAAGTGAGAACATGCGGTGTTTGGATTTTTGTCCTTGTGATAGTCTACTGAGAATGATGATTTCCAATTTCATCCATGTCCCTGCAAAGGACATGAACTCATCATTTTTTATGGCTGCATAGTATTCCATGGTGTATATGTGCCACATTTTCTTCATCCAGTCTATCATTGTTGGACATTTGGGTTGGTTCCAAGTCTTTGCTATTGTGAATAGTGCCACAATAAACATACGTGTCCATGTGTCTTTATAGCAGCATGATTTATAGTCCTTTGGGTTTATACCCAGTAATGGGATGGCTGGGTCAAATGGTATTTCAAGCTCTAGATCCCTGAGGAATCGCCACACTGACTTCCACAATGGTTGAACTAGTTTACAGTCCCACCAACAGTGTAAAAGTGTTCCTATTTCTCCACATCCTCTCCAGCACCTGTTGTTTCCCGACTTTTTAATGATCGCCATTCTAACTGGTGTGAGATGGTATCTCATTGTGGTTTTGATTTGCATTTCTCTGATGGCCAGTCATGGTGAGCATTTTTTCATGTGTTTTTTGGCTGCATAAATGTCTTCTTTTGAGAAGTGTCTGTTCATGTCCTTTGCCCACTTTTTGATAGGATTGTTTGTTTTTTTCTTGTAAATTTGTTTGAGTTCATTGTAGATTCTGGATATTAGCCCTTTGTCAGATGAGTAGGTTGCGAAAATTTTCTCCCATTTTGTAGGTTGTCTGTTCACTCTGATGGTAGTTTCTTTTGCTGTGCAGAAGCTCTTTAGTTTAATTAGATCCCGTTTGTCAATTTTGGCTTTTGTTGCCGTTGCTTTTGGTGTTTTAGACATGAAGTCCTTGTCCATGCCTATGTCCTGAATGGTAATGCCTAGGTTTTCTTCTAGGGTTTTTATGGTTTTAGGTCTAACGTTTAAGTCTTTAATCCATCTCAAATTAATTTTTGTATAAGGTGTAAGGAAGGGATCCAGTTTCAGCTTTCTACCTATGGCTAGCCAGTTTTCCCAGCACCATTTATTAAATAGGGAATCCTTTCCCCATTGCTTGTTTTTCTCAGGTTTGTCAAAGATCACATAGTTGTAGATATGTGGCATTATTTCTGAGGGCTCTATTCTGTTCCATTGATCTATATCTCTGTTTTGGTACCAGTACCATGCTGTTTTGGTTACTGTAGCCTTGTAGTATAGTTTGAAGTCAGGCAGCATGATGCCTCCAGCTTTGTTCTTTTGGCTTAGGATTGACTTGGCAATGCAGGCTCTTTTTTGATTCCATATGAACTTTAAGGTAGTTTTTTCCAATTCTGTGAAGAAAGTCATTGGTAGCTTGATGGGGATGGCATTGAATCTATAAATTACCTTGGGCAGTATGGCCATTTTCACGATCTTGATTCTTCCTACCCATGAGCATGGAATGTTCTTCCATTTGTTTGTATCCTCTTTTATTTCATTGAGCAGTGGTTTGTAGTTCTCCTTGAAGAGGTCCTTCATATCCCTTGTAAGTTGGATTCCTAGGTATTTTATTCTCTTTGAAGCAATTGTGAATGGGAGTTCACTCATGATTTGGCTCTCTGTTTGTCTGTTATTGGTGTATAAGAATGCTTGTGATTTTTGTACATTGATTCTGTATCCTGAGACTTTGTAGAAGCTGCTTATCAGCTTAAGGAGATTTTGGGCTGAGACAATGGGGTTTTCTATATATACAATCATGTCATCTGCAAACAGGGACAATTTGACTTCCTCTTTTCCTAATTGAATACCCTTTATTTCCTTCTCCTGCCTAATTGCCCTGGCCAGAACTTCCAACACTATGTTGAATAGGAGTGGTGAAAGAGGGCATCCCTGTCTTGTGCCAGTTTTCAAAGGGAATGCTTCCAGTTTTTGCCCATTCAGTATGATACTGGCTGTGGGTTTGTTATAGATGGCTCTTATTATTTTGAGATACGTCCCATCAATGCCTAATTTATTGAGAGTTTTTAGCATGAAGCGTTGTTGAATTTTGTCAAAGGCCTTTTCTGCATCTATTGAGATAGTCGTCCGGTTTTTGTCTTTGGTTCTGTTTATATGATGGATTACATTTATTGATTTGCATATATTGAACCAGCCTTGCATCCCAGAGCCTGGGCAACTTCTAGAGAAAACAGATTTGTTTGCCTCACAGTTCTGCAGGCTGTACTGGAAGCATGGCACCAGCATCTGTTTCCTGTGACGGCCTCAGGCTGCTCCCACTCTGGCAGAAGGGAAGGAGGGTCTGTCTGTGCAGAGACCACAGAGATCACATGGCAAGAGAGGGAGCAAGGGGGAGGGCGAGCGATGGAGCTTCCAAGCTCTTTTTAACAACCAGCCCTCCGGGAACTAATAGAGGGGGAACTTGCTAACCCCATCATGTGGGGCAGCATTAATCTATTCATGATGGATCCACCTCCATGACTCAAACACCTTCCCATAGGCCCAAACTTCCACACTGGGGGTTAAATTTCAATATTTCAGTGTGAGGTTTCAAAGGGTCAAACATCTAAACTAAAGCAGCTGTATCCTCAGCATGTTCTATGGTTTCTATGAGAGCTGTAACTGAGAAAGCAGGAGAAAGCTGGGTCTCCCGCCATCAGGCTGCTTGTCCTAAGGAGATGTTCCATGTGGTTACCTGTCAATCAAGAAATGAGACAATCCATAAAGAGGAACTGCTATGATTAGCTTCTTATTGGATTCCCATCTTCCTCCAGGTATCTGCAGACACCTGCATGTTCTGATTGGGACCTCAGTGGTCATCTTCCTCTTCATCCTCCTCCTCTTCTTTCTCCTTTATCGCTGGTGCTCCAACAAAAAGAGTAAGTCTCACGAAGCAGAGGCCAGAGAGCTCAGGGCCATGTGGGGAAGCAGGATGGGAGCACGCGGGTGTGTGTTCCTCACTGGCAGGATGGTCCCTGGCCCAAGGGAGGAGCCACAGAGGCAGGGCTTTCTAGAGAGAGCACCAGACAACCTGCCCCTGCCTTCAGCTCACAGACCATTGCCTGGTTCTGAACTGTATCCTCACATCCCCTGCAGCTACTGACATCCAGAAGCTTCCATGACAGGCAGAAAGTGGGAGACAGAATCAATGGGATGCCAATTGAGAGCACTTCATGGGATGGGGTCTTGAACTCAGAGAGATAGAATGTCTGAGTCTGGATGTTGGCAGCTGAAGAGCCTCAGGCACCTACAGCCTCCCCCTGTGGGTTGGTGTCTGCCCATGAAATGAGGACCCAGAAGGGCCCTCCAAGCGGTTTTGATGACTTCCGTCTCCTACAGATGCTGCTGTAATGGACCAAGAGCCTGCGGGGGACAGAACAGTGAATAGGCAGGTAGGTCCTCCTCGGCCCAGCCTCACGGATACAGTCTTATCCCTAATAGTCCTGAAAAATGTGAGCACCCTCCCTCACTCAGCATTTCCCTCTCTCCAGGACTCTGATGAACAAGACCCTCAGGAGGTGACGTACGCACAGTTGGATCACTGCGTTTTCATACAGAGAAAAATCAGTCGCCCTTCTCAGAGGCCCAAGACACCCCTAACAGATACCAGCGTGTACACGGAACTTCCAAATGCTGAGCCCAGATCCAAAGTTGTCTCCTGCCCACGAGCACCACAGTCAGGTCTTGAGGGGGTTTTCTAGGGAGACAACAGCCCTGTCTCAAAACCAGGTTGCCAGATCCAATGAACCAGCAGCTGGAATCTGAAGGCATCAGTCTGCATCTTAGGGGATCGCTCTTCCTCACACCACGAATCTGAACATGCCTCTCTCTTGCTTACAAATGCCTAAGGTCGCCACTGCCTGCTGCAGAGAAAACACACTCCTTTGCTTAGCCCACAAGTATCTATTTCACTTGACCCCTGCCCACCTCTCCAACCTAACTGGCTTACTTCCTAGTCCTACTTGAGGCTGCAATCACACTGAGGAACTCACAATTCCAAACATACAAGAGGCTCCCTCTTAACACGGCACTTACACACTTGCTGTTCCACCTTCCCTCATGCTGTTCCACCTCCCCTCAGACTATCTTTCAGCCTTCTGTCATCAGTAAAATTTATAAATTTTTTTTATAACTTCAGTGTAGCTCTCTCCTCTTCAAATAAACATGTCTGCCCTCATGGTTTCGATAATGTGACTCTTTATTCGCCAAAAGTTTCCAGTGTTATCATTACTATGTCCATATAACCTGATATGTTCTCTACTGGGTTCTCAGCCCTGGACTCTGAGCTTCTGGAAGCAGGGTGGAGCCTCATTTGTCTCTGGGACTCCAATTTCCATCCAAAGATGCAGCACATAGGAGGTTCCAAGGATCGTGAATCACATGAACAAGTGATATTCTTACTCTCTGCAGACCTGGAAAGCTGGCAGAGTCATTCCAAGATGAAACATTTGTAGAGTCATAGGCCTTGTTAGTCTCATCTCCACAGGGACACATGTCAACACATCATCTTTCATACTATAAATATACAGTCGCTCCTCCATATCTGTGGGGTTTACAGGTGTTTATTGAACCAAATATAAATCAAAAATATTCAGAGAAAAAATCCACAAAGTTCCAAAAAGCAAAAATACTATATTGTGTGGACACAAGTGAGGTGGTGTGTAGGCTGTATCAGGAATTATAAGTAATCTAGAGATGATTTCATGTATACAGGAGGATGTGCATGGGTTATATGCAAACGCTGTGCCATTTCATGCAACAGGCTTGAGCATCTGCAGATTTTGGTGTCTGGTAGGGAGGGGGGTTTCCTGGAACCAATCACCCATGAATAGTGAAGGACAACTGTATATAATTTTCATTCATCAATTTTATAAATAAATCATCAAAATGTATGATAATAAGATAAAAAATTAGCAGTGTTTTTATGGTGTGAAAATAAGCTTAGATTTATTTTTTCCTGCTTGTAACCCTCTGGTCCAATGTTATTTACTGAGAAGACATTCTATTCCACCTTAATCCGCATGGCAGCCTCTGTCAACTATAAAAGGACTGTGTGTACACAGATGTATTTTACACACTCTTTTCTGCTCAGTGGCTCTCTGTGTCCACTCTCATGAGGATGCTGCACTTTATGTGGCCTTATAGAACCCCTTAAAATTTGGCAGCCTGAATCCTCTAATTTCTCCTTCCTCTTTAAGATTGCCATTATTATTATTATTGGCTATTTGCTTTTCCATGTAAATTTGTAATCATTTTTCTCATTTCCACCAAAAACAATGCTTGTAATTTTGTTGTGACTCCCTTACATCTACAGGTAAGTTCTGTCCTATAGAAACATAATGCAAACCACATGCATTCTTTCAAACTTGCTAGTATCCAAATTAAAAAGCTAACAAGAAACAGATAAAATTAATTTAAGTTAACCCAATGGACCCAAAATATTATTAACCCAACAGACCCAAAATATTAACCTAATAGATCCAAAATATTATTTTATTATACAAGTAGACTCAAAATATTATCATTTCAACATGTAATCATGTGTCATCTTGGAAAACATCAGATCCCTGTCTAGGTGGGCAAAGATTTTTCTTCGTAATATCTCATTTCCACATTTCCACTTGGCACAGAAACTGCCCCCAAGGCTCAGGATACTAAGATGCAGTAGGAATGGGTAGATGTATCTGGAGGAAAGTGACTGAATGAAATTGAGACATCAGAGTCTGGGAAACTCACTAGAACTACAGGGACAGTGTGGGGGAGGGAATTGGGAGATGTTGATCAAAGGATACAAACTATCAGGTATTCAGGAGGAATGGGTCTGAAGATCTCTTGTACAGCTTTGCCACTATGGTTGACAATACTGTACTCTATACTTGAAATTTACCAGGAAAGTAGATTTTTTTTTTTAAATATGGAACACTTCACGAATTTGCGTGTCATTCTTGCGCAGGGGCCATGCTAGTTTTCTCTGTATCGTTCCAATTTTAGTATATGTGCTGCCGAGGCAAGCATGGGAGAGTAGATTTTTTTTTTTTTTTTTTTTTTTTTTGAGCTGGAGTCTTGCTCTGTCACCCAGGCTGGAGTGCAGTGGCGCGATCTCGGCTCACCGCAAGCTCCGCCTCCTGGGTTCACGCCATTCTCCTGCCTCAGCCTCCCGAGTAGCTGGGACTACAGGCGCCCGCCACCACGCCCTGCTAATTTTTTGTATTTTTAGTAGAGACGGGGTTTCACTGTGTTAGCCAGGATGGTCTCGATCTCCTGACCTCGTGATCCGCCTGCCTCGGCCTCCCAAAGTACTGGGATTACAGGCATGAGCCACCACGCCCGGCTGGGAGAGTAGATCTTAAGGGTCCTCACCACAAAAAAAAAAAAAAGAAAGAAAGAAAAAGAAACCATAGGCCGGGCGCGGTGGCTCACGCCTGTAATCCCAGCACTTTGGGAGGCCAAGACGGGCAGATCACTTGAGGTCAGGAGTTCAAGACCAGCATGGCCAACATGGTGAAACCCTGTCTCTACTAAAAATGCAAACATTAGCCAGGCGTGGTGACACAAGCCTGTAATCCCAGCTACTCAGGAGGCTGAGGCACGAGAATTGCTGGAACCTGGGAGCGGAGGTTGCAGTGAGCCAAGATGGCACCACTGCACTCTAGCCTGGGGGACAGAGTAAGACTTCCTCTCAAAAAAAAAAAAAAAAAAAAAACAATAACCCTGCGAGATGATGGATATAACTAGCTTGACTATGATGATCATGTCACCATGTATACATACATCAAAACATCAAGTGTAATACACCTTAAATATATACAATTTCCATTTGTCAATCATATCTCAATAAAGCTAAAAGAAACCTCTAAGTTTCAACTTTATTTTCAGAAAGCTGTGCCATGCTTACCTCAGTGCCTAAGTATACTCTAATTCATGGAAATGGCCTTTAAAACTGCAGAGAGTGGCTGGGTGCAGTGGCTCACGCCTATAATCCCAGCACTTTGGGAGGCGGAGGTGGGCAGATCACGAGGTCAGGAGTTCGAGATCAGCCTGGCCAACATGGTGAAACTCTGTCTCTACTAAAAATACAAAAAATAGCTGGGCATGGTGGCAGGTGCCTGTAAATCTGAGATACTCAGGAGGCTGAGACAGGAGAATCGTTTGAACTGGGGAGGCAGAGGTTGCAGTGAGCCGAGATCCTGCCATTGCACTCCAGCCTGGGCGACAGGGTGAGACTCCATCTCAAAAAAAAAAAAAATACTGCAGAGAGTTAAGGCCCTCACTGGACACTCTCCGGTACCTCTGAGGTCAGTGGATAGAGAAGCAGCTCCCCTTCTTCTTCCTCGAAACAAAGGCCTCCTTCCTTCTTAGGTGTTTGAGACAAATTCTCCACACAGGTGCAGCTGAGTGCTGTAAAGTCCCACTGAGAGTTGAAGGTCCCCACTGCCAGTCACAGTTCGGTCCCACTGAGGGTTGAAGGTCCCCACTGCCAGTCACAGTTTGGTCCCATTGAGGGTTGAGAGTCTCCACTGCCAGTCACAGTTTGGTCCCATTGAGGGTTGAGAGTCTCCACTGCCAGTCAGTTTGGGCTTATTAGGGTTTATGCTGTGCACGGAGAATGGAACCTACCAATCAACTCTTAGTGACCAGTTAGACAGATTCAAGGCAAATTTCCCTGCTGGGAAATCCCAAATCCCAAAATATGCAGAGACCAATAGATGCCTCAATTCTTCCGTGTCTCCGTCTAAATCCTTGGGTCACTGTGACTCCTGTAGTTATGTGGCTTGTAATTCCTTGGGCCGTAGAATGGCTATGATAGGCCCTGTGCTAAGGGGACTGGTGACAGTTGAGACAGGAACATGGAAGCTATAGTAGTCAGGGTTCTCCAGAAAAAAAAATAATCAACACTAATAATGATAGATATATAGATAATGATTGATAGACAAATAATGATAGATATATAATGATATCACAAATAATGATAGACATATAGTTGGATAATGACAGATATATAATGATTGATACACAGATAGGGTATTTATATATTGGCTTATGCAACTATGTAGACTGACAGGTCCCATGATCTGCCATCTGCAAGCTGGAGACCCAGGGGAGTCCACGTGTAGTTCCAGTCTACGTGCAAAAGTCTGAGAACCAGTAGAGTTAGTGGTATACGTAACAGTCCAAAAGCTAGCAGGCTCATGCCGGGCATGATGGCTCACGCCTGTAATCCCAACACTTTGGGAGACCAAGGCAGGCAGATCACCTGAGGTCAGAGTTCAAGACCAGCCCGGCCAACATGGTGAAACCCCATCTTTACTAAAAATACAAAAATTAGCCGGGCATAGTGGCATTCGCTTGTAATCCCAGCTACTCAGAGGCTGAGGTACGAGAATTGCTTGAACCCAAGAGGTGAAGGTTGCAGTGAGCCGAGATCATGCCACAGCACTCCAGCCTGGGTGACAGAGTGAGACTCTATCTCAAAAAAACAAACAAACAAAAAAAGCTGGCAGGCTTAACATCTAAAGAGTCAATGTTTTAGTGAGAGTTCAAGAGCCAGAAAAGACTGATGTCCAGGCAAAAGGAACTTCATCTTACATTACCAGTTCAATGTTTTGTTCTATTCAGGTCCCACCTGATTGAATGAGGCCGACTCACATTAGGGAGAGCAATCTGCTTTATAAATTACACTAATTCCATTGATAATCTCATTCAGCAACACCCCCACAGACACACACAGAATAATGTTTAACCAAATATCTCAGCACCCCATGGCTACGTTACCATTCCTGTTCCACAAAAGGAGGAAACAAAAGAACAAAACCACACCAAATGTTGTGGTAAGTTGACAAAATCTGTTCCAGCCCATTAGTAAATATTGGCCACTGAAGTTCCTGAAATTCAACAATTAGTAAGTATCTCTCTCCCAATAGAAAGCCACGTCATTTGTAAACCATAACAATAGCTTTTGTTTTTTTGAGACACAGTCTCGCTCTGTGTTGCCCAGGCTGGAGTGCAGTGATCTTGGCTCACTGCAACCTCTGCCTCCTGGGTTCAAGTGGCTCTCCTGCCTCAGCCTTCCGAGTAGCTGGAATTACAGGCACCCGCCACCACACCCAAGTAATTTTTTATATTTTTAGTAGAGACTGGGTTTCACCACATTGACCAGGCTGGTCTTAAATTCCTGAACTCAAGTGATTCACCTGCCTTGGCCTCCCAAAGTGCTGGGATTACAGGCATGAGCTACTGCACCCAGCCAACAATAGTATTTTTAATTAGGTCATCCTGCCTTTACAATCTCTGCATTTTAAATACTCAACTAAGAGTACAGCCATTATTTGTCTTTCACCCAAAGTCCCATTCAAGTGAGAACAAAGGAATGAATAAATAAGGCATAAGTAACAAAACAACAAAAAAAGAAAATTAGAATGCGGTCAATTTCATGCAATCATCAACACCAAATTTCCAGAACGTAGTATTTCCAAATTTCCCGAACGTAAATATGTATGTGGAAATTAACAAAATGTGGCAAAACAAAAGGTCACTTAAATTTGCACAAATGAAACAGTCAACATGGAAGCTGATCGGCTTTCTGAAATATGGGACAAGCTCAGGACTTCAAAATACTTCGGCGTTGGAAGGGCTAAGTTATGATGTATTAAAATGAAAATAAAGTGGGGCGCGGTGGCTCACGCCTGTAATCCCAGCACTTTGGGGGACCGAAGTGGGTGGATCACGAGGTCAGGAGATCGAGACCATCCTGGCTAACACGGTGAAACCCCGTTTCTACTGAAAATACAAAAAAAATTAGCCGGGCGTGGTGGCGGATGCCTGTAGTCCCAGCTACTCGGGAGGCTGAGGCAGGAGAATAGCATGAACCCAGGAAGTGGAGCTTGCAGTGAGCTGAGATCACGCCACTGCACTCCAGCCTGGGCGACAGAGCAAGACTCCGTCTCAAAAAAAAAAAAAGAATAAATAAAATAAAATAAAATAGTAGAAGGTTTAATTAGGAATATTTCACTCTCCATACCTGAAGAATTCGTGATAGCCAGGAGTCTACAATCAAAATAACATAAATAATAAGATAAAAATAAAATTAATTTGAAGCCATAAAAAAAGAATGAGTTCATATGTTTTGTGGAAACATGGATGGAGCTGGAGGCCATTATCCTTAGCAAACTATACAAGAACAGAACACCAAATACAGCAGGTTCTCACTTATAAGTGGAAGCTAAATAATAGAACTCATGAACACAAAAAAGGGAAAAACAGACAATGGGGTCTCCTTTAGGGTGGAGGGTGGGAGGCGGGAAAGGAGCAGGCAAAGTAACTATTAGGTACCAAGCTTATTACCTAGGTGATGAAATAATCTGTACAACAAACCCCCATGACACAAGTTTACCTGTATAACAAACCTTCCCATGTACCCTTGAACCTAAAATAAAAGTTAAAAAAATACTCAATGAGCAACAATGTACATTATTTGAGGATAATTATATTAAAAGCCCAGACTTCACCACTACACAAAATATCCACGTAATAAAATTTCACTTGCGCTCCTTAAATTTATACAAATAAACAAAAAAGTATAATAAAATAGTAGATTCTTTCTTTAGAGATGACAAATAGTGCCAGAGAAAATGCCTCCACACTCTGGCATTGAGATCATCTCCAGGATAAGGGTATACTGCATGCCTGGTCAAGTCCAAGTAAATATACTCAGACCATGAATCTCAGAGATGAAACATAGGTTCAGAACAGACAAAGCCACAGAGCTTTTGACTAATGGCCCAGTGAAGGCAATGTCTGCCTGTATGGTATCCACCACCTTATATTCTGTCCCAAGCCCGTCTATTTGGATGTAGCATCTGGTTCAAAGATGAATTTGAACACCATTAGACACTGGCTTAATGAAAATTCACTTCTCATTCGTTTCTCATCTGAAACATAAATAGAAATATAGGTCTTAGGCAGGAGGATTTCTTGATGCCAGAAGTTAGAGACTACCCTGGCCAACATAGAAAGACCCCATCTCTATTTAAAAAAATATACATATATATGTCTTCTCTTGGGCTCCACCCAAGAGCAACCTGGAACTAAGTTATTCGGCAACGAACTGTTCCACTTTGTTGTGAGGCAATAGATGTGGAAATTCCCTGACGAGGGGCTCTGTCCTCATACTTCCTGCGGAGCTTATTGTCGTAAGAATATCTGTCATCCTGCTAATGTGCATTGAAAGGAGAGCAACGGGGCTGAGGCCGTGTCAGCACGATGGACCCCAAACAGACCACCCTCCTGTGTCTTGGTGAGTTTCAGAGTAAAAGTGGGTTAGAGGGGAAGATAGAGAAATCCCAAAATAATCAGGGTGTCTCTTAACAGTGTGACTAGGAGATTTTAGTGGCTGCCAAGGAGATTCTGATCTCCTTAGTGGAAAGGCCGTCTTTGTCAATGTATCTATAACTTTGTCTCTACCCAAGCCCAAGCTAGCTTGTGGGGCTCAAGGTTTAATATTTGTATTAAACCTATAGTGTGTTATCTGGGATTCATGATGGTCCCAAGGTTCTTATCAAGGAGAGACTTAGAGGCTGGAATCTGAAAGGTAAAAATAAAGAATGAACCTCAAAACTGTGATTGTTGTGGAAGGAAAACATATGATAGAACCCCATATAGAAATATGGTTACTAGTATTTTGTTGAAGATTTTTGCATTTATGTTCAACAAAGATATTATCCAGAAGTTTTCTGTTTTTGTTGTATCTCTGCCACATTTTGTTATCAGGATAATGTTGGCCTCATAGAATGAGTTGGGGAGGAGTCCCTCCTCCAGGATTTTTTTCAATAGTTTCAGTAGGAATAATACTAGCTCTTCTTGGCCGGGCGCAGTGGCTCACACCTGCAATCCCAGCACTTTGGGAGGCCAAGGCAGGCGGATCACAAGGTCAGGAGATCAAAACCATCCTGGCCAACATGGTGAAACCCTGTCTCTACTAAAAATACAAAAAAATTAGCCAGGCGTGGTGGCGGGCGCCTGTAGTCCCAGCTACTCGTGCGGCTGAGGCAGGAGAATGGCATGAACCTGGGAGGCAGAGCTTGCAGTGAGCCAAGATCATGCCACTGCACTCCAGCTTGGGCGACACAGCGAGACTCTGTCTCAAAAAAAAAAAAAAATGCCAGCTCTTCTTTATATATCTGGTGGGATTGAGCTGTGAATCCATCTGGTACTGGTCTTTTTCTGGTCTGTCATTACAGAGGGTGATTTGTCGTAAAGGTTGGAAATGGAAGCTTGATTTTTCATAAATCTCTCTCTTCCAGTGCTCTGTCTGGGCCAGAGGATTCAGGCACAGGAAGGTAAGTGTCCTGTAAATCTCTCCCAGCCCCTTTAGACCCTCTTGGGAGCTCTAGGATAAAGAAATTGAAGAATAGCCTGAAGCACCATTCTTATTTTAATCCCCATTCTAGTTGTTTCTGCTGTGCTTCTCTTGCATAATTTCTATCTCACTTTGTTATCTCCAAACCCTTCAGACTCATTAATGCTCAGGCCTGGATTTATAGTTAGTCCTTGCCTGTGTTAGACTGTCCATGAAGGATCTGTAATTTACTGAATGCTCAAACTGCAAGAATGAGGAAGTCAGGAGTCATCTGCCCAATATCCTTCCTTATGCTGATTCTATTTTGTTTTAGCAACCCACTTCCTCCCGTCACTTCATTTAAAAGGATGCTGCCATAGTCTAACCCTACTGAACACTCTAGCATTCTGTAGTACTACTGCAGTACTAAGCATGAGGCAGTCTTAGTGTACTACTGAATATTCTGCCACCCCAACTACTACTGCCTTAGCCTCCTAATGGGTGTGAGCCCCACGTCCATCCATGTCTTCTCTCTTCCAGCTCCTTCTAAAGCCTGAATTATTTGTGTGTTGAACAATACTCATTCTTCCTATCCATGAGCATGGAATGTTTTTCCATTTGTTTGTGTCATCTATGATTTCTTTGACCAGTGTTTTGTAGTTCTCCTTGCAGAGATCTTTCACCTCCCTGGTTAGCTGTATTCCCAGGTATTTTATTCTTTTTGCAGTAATTGTGAATGGATTCTATTCTTGATTTGGCTCTCAGCTTAGATGTTTTTGGTGTATAGGAATGCTACTGATTTTTATATATTGATTTTGTATCCTGGAACTTTGCTAAAGTTGTTTATCAGATTAAGAAGTGTTTGGGCAGAGACTGTGGTTTTCTAGGTATAGAATCATATCACCTGCAAACAGGGATAGTTTGACTTCCTTTCTTCCTATTTGGATGCCTTTTATTTCTCTCTTGCCTGATTGCTCTAGCTAGGACCTCCAGTACTATGTTGAACAGAAGTAGTGAGAGACGGCATCCATGTCTTTTGCCAGTTTTCAAGGGGAATACTTCCAGCTTTTGCCCATTCAATATGATGTTGACTGTGAGTTTGTCATACATCATTCTTATTATTTTGAAATATGTTTCTTCAATGCCTAGTTTGTCGAGGTTTTTTAGCATAAAGGGATGTTGAATTTTATCAAAAGCTCTATTGAGAGGATTATGTGTGTGGGGAGGGTTGTTCTATTTATGTGATGAATCATATTTAAGATTTGTGTATATTGGCCGGGCACTGTGGCTCATGCCTGTAATCCCAGCACTTTGGGAAGCCAAGGCTTGTGGATCATGAGGTCAGGAGATCGACACCATCCTGGCTAACACGGTGAAACCTCGTCTATACTAAAAAACACAAAAAAATTAGCCAGGCGTGGTGGTGGGCACCTGTAGTCCCAGCTGCTCGGGAGGCTCAGGCAGGAGAATGGCGTGAATCCAGGAGGCGGAGCTTGCAGTGAGCCAAGTTCACGCCACTACACTCCAGCCTGGGCAACAGAGCGAGACTCCTATATCGAATCAACCTTGCATCCCAGAAATAAAGCCTACCTGATGGTGGTGGATTAGCTTTCTGATGTGCTGCTGGATAGTTTGCTAGTATTTTGTTGAGGATTTTTGCATTTATGTTCAACAAGGATATTGTCCTGAAGTTTTCTGGTTTTGTTGTGTCTCTGCCATGTTTTTGCATCAAGATGATGCTGGTCTCATAGAATGAGCTGGGGAGGCATTCCTCCTCCTGAATATTTTTGGAACGTTTCAGTAGGTATAGTACCAGCTCTTCTTTATATATCAGATGGGATTCAGCTGTGAGTCTGTCTGGTACTGGGCTTTTTCTGGTCTGTAGGATTTTTATTACTGATTCAATTTTGGAGCTCATTATTGGTCTGTTCATGTATTCAATTTATTCTTGGTTTGATCTCAGGAGGGTGTATGTGTCCAGGAATTTCTCCATTTATTCTGGATTTTCTAGTTTGTGTGCATAGAGGTGTTCATAATATTCTCTGATGATTGTATTTCTGTGGGGTGAGTGGTAATATACCCTTTGTTGTTTCTAATTGTGTTTATCCGGATCATCTCTCTTTTCTTCTTTATTAGTCTAACTAGTCATCTGTCTTACTAATTTTTTCAAAAATTCTACTCCTCGATTTGCTGATCTTCTGAATGCTTTTTCGTGTCTCAATCTCCTTCAGCTCAGCTCTGATTTTGGTTATTTCTTGTTTCCTATGAGCTTTGGGGTTGATTTCCTCTTGGTTCTCTTAGTTCCTCTTGTTATGATGTTAGGTTGTTAATTTGAACTTTTTCTAGCTTTTTGAAGTGGGAGTTTAGTGCTATAAACTTCCCCCTTAACACTGCCTTAGCTGTGTCCCAGAGATTCTGCTATATTTACCCAAAAATTCCAGAACAGACTGCTTAATTTCCATGCATTGTACAGTTTTGAGTGGTTTTCTTAGTATTTATTCCTATTTTTATTCCACTGTGCTCTGATTTCGCTTTTCTGGATTTGCTAAGGATTGTTTTTTTTTTTTTTGAAATGGAGTCTTGCTCTGTCGCCCAGGCTGGAGTGCAGTGGCGCAATCTAGGCTCACTGCAAGCTCCGCCTCCCAGGTTCACACCATTCTCCTGCCTCAGCCTCCTGAGTAGCTGAGACTACAGGTGCCCGCCACCCCGCCCGGCTAATTTTTTTTGTATTTTTAGTAAAGACGGGGTTTCACTGCGTTAGCCAGGATGGTCTCGATCTCCTGACCTCATGATCCGCCAGCCTTGGCTTCCCAAAGTGCTGGGATTACAGGTGTGAGCCACCGTGCCCAGCCTGCTAAGGATTGCTGTATGTCTGATTGTATGATTGACTTTAGAGTATGTGCCATGAGGCAATGAAAACAATGTAGATTCTGTTGTTTTGGGGGTGGAGAGTTCTGTAGATGTCTGTCAGGTCCATTTGATCCACTGCTGAGTTCAGGTCCTGAATATCTCTGTTTGCCTCAATGATCTAATACTGTCGGCGGGATGTTAAAGTCTCCCCCTATTATTGTGTGGTTGTCTAAGTCTCTTCGTTGGTCTCTCAGAACACGCTTTATGAATCCGGGTGCTTCCATGTTAGGTGCATATATATTTAGGATAGTTAGGTCTTCATGCTCTTTTTTTAATTTTTTTTTTCTTTTTCTTTTTGATTCAGCAGTTGGGCTATTACACACTCCTTAGCAGATTCCGACTTCCGTGGCCACTGTCCTGCTATGGTCTTCATGTTGAATTGAACCCTTTACCATGATTTAATGCCCTTCTTTGCCTTTTTTGATCTTTGTTGGTATAAAGTCTGTTTTGTCTGAAATTTTAATAGCAGCTCCTGCATTTTTTTTTTTTTTTGGCTTTCCATTTGCTTGGTAGATTTTTCTCCATTTCTTTACTTTGAGCCTATGGATGTCATTGCATATGAGATGGGTTTCTTATAGGCAGCATAATGTTGAGTCTTGCTTTTTTTTTTTTTTTTTTTTTTGAGATGGAGTCTCACTCTGTCACCCAGGCTGGAGTGCAGTGGTATGATCTTGACTCACTGCAACTTCTGCCTCCCAGGTTCAAATGATTCTCCTGCCTCAGCCTCCCAAATAGCTGGGATTACAGGTGTGTACCACCACGCCCAGCTATTTTTTTTTTTTATTAGAGATGGGATTTCATCACATTGGCCAGGCTAATGTCGAACTCCTGACCTCAAATGATCCACCCACCTCAGCCTCCCAAAGTGCCAGGGTTACAGGCGTGAGCCACTGCACCTGGCCTCTTGCTTCTTTATCCAACTTGCCACTCTCTGCATTTTAATTAGGACAATTAGTCCATTTACATTCAAAGTTAGCATTTACATGTGCAGATTTTTTCCTGTCATCATGTTGTTAGCTGGTTTGGTTATTATGCAGACTTGTTTGTGTGGTTGTTTTATAGTGTCACTGGTTTATGTACGTAAGTGTGTTTTCTATTGGCTGGTGATGGTCTTTTCTTTCCATATTTAGCGTTCCTCTTAGGACCTCTTGTAAGGCAGGCCTGATGGTAATAAATTCCCTCAGCATTTGCTTGTCTGTAAAGGATCTTATTTCTCCTTCACTTATGAAACTTAGTTTGGCTGGGAATGAGATTCTTGGTTGGAAATTCTTTTCATAAGAACATTAAATATAGGCCCCCAATCTCTTCTGGATTGTAGAGTTTCTGCTGAAAGGTCTGCTGTTAGCTCGATGGCATTCCCTTTGTAGGTGACCTGCCCCTTCTTTTTTGCTGCCTTTTCACATTTTTTTTTTTTTTTTTGAGACTGAGTCTTGCTCTGTTGCCCAGGCTGCCAGGCTGGAGTGCAATGGCGTGATCTCGGCTCACTGCAAGCTCCGCCTCCCGGATTCACGCCATTCTCCTGCCTCAGCCTCCCCAGTAGCTGGGACTACAGGTGCCCACCACCACGCCCAGCTAATTTTTTATATTTTTTTAGTAGAGATGGGGTTTCACCATGTTAGCCAGGATGGTCTCAATCTCCTGACCTCGTGATCCGCCCGCCTTGGTCTCCCAAAGTGCTGGGATTACAGGCGTGAGCCACCGCGCCCGGCCGACATTTCTTTCTTTCATTTCTACCTTGAAGAATCTGATGATTTTGTGTCTTGGGGATGCTCTTCTTGTGTAGTATTTTGCAGGGGTTCTCTGTTTCCTGCATTTGATTCTTGGCCTCTCTAGTGACGTTGGGGAAGTTTTCATGAACAATACACTGAAATATGTTTTCCATGTTCCTTGCTTTCTCCCCATCTCTTTCGGGGATGCCAATGGGCTATTTGGTCTCTTTTCATGATCCCATATTTCTTAGAGGTTTTGTTCATTAATTTTTATTCTTTTTCTTCATTTTTGTCTGACTGAATTAGTTCAGAGAGCCAGTATTCATGCTCTGAGATTCTTTCCTTATTTTGCTTTATTTTGCCATTAATACTTGTGATCGCATTATGAAATCTCGTAGTGTGTTTTTCAGCTCCATCAGATCCGTTTGGTTCTTTCAAAATGACCATCTCATAGATTAGCCCCTCTGTCATTTTATTGTAATCTTTAGGTTCCTTGCATTGGGTTTCAACTTTCTCCTGAATCTTGATGACCTTAATTTCTATCCATATTCTGAATTCTATTTCTGTCATTTCAGCCAGGTAAAGAGCCCTTGCTGGGAAGCTTGTGTGGTAATTTGGAGGAAGGAAGACACTGTTGCTTTTTGAGTTGATGGAGTTCTTGCTCAGTTCTTTCTCATCCATGTGGGCTAATGTTCCTTTGAGTGTGCTGCAATTTGAATTTTTTTCTTTTTTCTTTTAACCGTGATGTAATTTGAGCACAGTCAGTAGACTTCTTTTCTGGATGGTTTCAGAGGGCTGGGGCTTCGCACAGGGTCTTTATTTATAGCTAAATTCTTGTCCTTGGTTTCACAGGGAGGTATATTAGCGAGCATTTTTGGTGTTGAAGTTTGGGCTGCAATCCGGTAAATGATGCTTCAGCACAACGGCCAGTAGGTCATTCCTCATGATTGCCGCTGTGCTCCCTCTCACGCTCTGAAAGTGCGGGCTCCTCTCCCACCCAAGTGCTGGCTGCAGATCTGGGCTCGGCACTCCCAGGCTGCACATCACAGCTCTGGGGTGAGCTCAGACTTTATGTTCCCTCCGTGGCTTGGGGGCAGCAGGGGAAGGGACCTTAGCAGCGGTTGTGGCAGACGGCCTTTCACTTGTCCCTTGGAACTCCACCCCAGAGAGATGTGGAGCCACTATCAGTGCGATGAGCCAAGAGTGAGGCGACTGCACTGTGGGTCCAAGCTAGGGGCCCTGCCTAGTGATGAGCAGGGGGGACAGGTGGGTCACAGGGGTGACAGACTGGCCTCTTCTCCTTAGGGCAGTTTGCCGGAGGTGTGGTTGAAGCACTCAGAGTCTTTGCTCCTTCCCCAGTCTGAGGGCAGCAAGGCCAGTACCACCGCAGTGGCAGCGGCAGAGTGACCTTCCGTTGCCTCTGGGAGCTCCGCCACAGAGAAACGCAGACTCACAGCTGCTGGGAACGCTCCGCCAGAGGGTGGGGCTGTTGTGCCGCGGAATCAAGCTGGGGCTTGTTGAAGAGCAGGGGGTTGAGGGCTCACAGGGAGAGGAGACTGAGCTCCTCTCCGTATGGCGACTGCGGTGTGCTGGAAGCATGAATGAAGGCCGGGCGCGGTGGACTCACGCCCGGAATCCCAGCACTTTGGGAGGCCGAGGCGGGCGGATCACGAGGTCGGGAGATCGAGACCATCCTGGCTAATCTGGTGAAACCCCGTCTCTACTGAAAACACAAAAAATGAGCCGGGCGTGGTGGCGGGCGCCTGTAGTCCCAGCTACTCGGGAGGAGGATGAGGCTGAGGCAGGAGAATGGTGTGAACCCGGGAGGCGCAGCTTGCAGTGAGCCGAGATCGGGCCACTGCACTGCAGCGTGGGCGACAGAGCGAGACTCCGTCTCAAATAAATAAATAAATAAATAAATAAATAAATAAATAAATAAATAAATAAATTGAAGCATGAATGAAGGCCCCAGGCTCCTTGCTTCTTCCCCAGATCACGGGCAGCAGAGGCAGAACCCTTGCCATGGCAGTGGCAGAGGGGCTGTCAGTTGCCTCTGGGAGCCACTCCCCAGGGAAACACGAGCCACCACCAGTGAGTGTGCTGAGGGCGGGGCAGCTGCTCTGCACTCCCGAGCTGGGGGCTCTGCCTGGTAAAGTGGGGGTGGGAGCTCACGGGGAAGAGAGACTGGACTCCTCTCTGTCTGATGGCTGTGGCATAATGACCGGGCCCCCACACATGAAAAAGAATTCTGGGAACTCAAAAAGCCAGTGTGTCCCCACCATGGACCCCTTGGATTGTGTTTCAAATTTCTCCTCAATTTCGAAGAGCGTCCTGGCCATCCAGATTCTGAATTCTATAACCCTCGTTTCATTCATCTCAATGTAGCTAAGAACCAGATTTCTGGGGAACTATCGAGTTGCCAGAGTTCTTGTGTTGATTCTTTTTTTTTTTTCTTTTTTTTTTCTTTTTTGTGGCAGAGTCTTACTCTGTCGCCCAGGCTGGAGTGCAGTGGCACGATCTCAGCTCACTGCTGCAACCTTCACCTCCCGGGTTCAAGCGATTCTCCTGTCTCAGCCTCCTGAGTAGCTGGGATTACAGGTGTGTGCCACCACGCCCGGCTAATTTTTGTATGTTTAGTAGAGCCCGGGTTTTGTCACGTTGGTCAGGCTGGTCTCAAACTCTTGACCTCCGGTGATCTGCCCACTTCAGCCTCCCAAAGTGCTGGGATTACAGGTGTGAGCCACCGCGCCCGGCCTTGGTGTTGATTCTTTCTCTTGTGTGAGGGCTGGTGTTCCTTTAACTGTGATGTCGGTTGAGTACAGTCGCTTGGCTTCATTTCTGGGTGTTTTCAGATGCCAGGACTCTGCACAGGATCTTTATTTGTGGCTGAATTTTTCCCTTCATTGTATACTGGCAAAATTTTTCAGTGTTGTATTTTGAAGTGTGATCCAGTAGGTGGCACTTAAAAGGGTTGGCCAGCATACAGGATCTTAGCCACAAGGCTCTTTTGTAGTTTTGTTTCGTTTTTTGTTTCGTTTTTTGACACAGGGTCTTGTTCTGTCGCCCAGGCTGGAGCACAGTGGCACAATCTCGGCTCACTGCAGCCTCTACCTATCAGGCTAAGTGATCCTCCTGCCTCAGCCTCCTGAGTAGCTGGGACTACAAGCACGCAGCACCATAAAGAGAAAATTTTTGTAATTTTTTTTTTTTTTTTGTAGAGATGGGGTTTCACCATGTTTACCAGGCTGGTCTCAAACTCCTGGGCTCAAGCAATCTGCCTGCCTTGGCCCCCTAACTCTTGTATTTTGACAAAGTCGGCAGTAGTGCTCTGTGGTTGTGAGGAGGGGTGACTCCCTCGCCTGGTCCATTCTTGGGCCTTGGAGGAGCCTCCTACAGTCACTGGCTCTGCACCCACTGTTTCCTTTGTTAGGATTGTTCTGCCCACGGGGCTCCCTCAGGCAGGGCATGGTGGGCAGACAGGCTGTATCCTTCCCCGGCCAGCCCTATGGAGGGAGGACCACCCCGCACCTCTGCAGGCTGATGAAATCAGGTGTTTCACCCCTCTGAACGTTCTGAGAATGAGGGCTCCTCACGGCTTGGTCGCCACCTAACGTGGTGAGTCCTTCTCAGCAAGGGTGATTGGAGCCACATGATCTGCCATCTCAGTGCTTCCCAGGGGAACACAGAGCTACTGGGCATGGTGGCTCACACGTGTAATCCCAGTACTTTAGGAGGCCGAGATGGGCAGATTGCGAAGTCAGGAGACTGAGACCATCCTGGATAACATGGTGAAACCCCGTCTCTACTAAAAATACAAAAAAAAATTAGCCAGGCGTGGTGGCGGGCGCCTGTAGTCCCAGCTACTCGGGAGGCTGAGGCAGAAGAATGGTGTGAACCCGGGAGGCGGAGCTTGCAGTGAGCCAAGATCACACCACTGCACTCCAGCCTGGGCAACAGAGTGAGACTTCATCTCAACAAAAAAAGAAAAGAAAAGAAAAACACAGAGCTGCACACCCCACAGAGTTCAGGCAGAAGGGGGTCTGCAGCGCTGGAAGACCCAGCAAGCCTGGCCCGTCTGGCTGCAAGTGGCAGGGGTGGGTGGAGTCACCCACTTCACCATCTGGGTGCTTTCCAGGGAAGCATGCAGCCACGACCCCGGGCAGAGTTCAGGCAGAAGCTGGGCCACTATGCTGGAAACTGGCCTTGAGCCTTGTGGAGTAACGGCAGGTGGAGCCATCTCACTGCTCCCACGCACCATGCCCGTGGCCTCTGCGGGGGCTGTGGTAACGGCACCCGACTGCTCTGGGGTCAATGCCTGCGGAGGTCCCCCTGGCTTCAGTGTTGCCTCTGCAAAAACCCCAGTTGCAGCCAGGTGCGGTGGCTCACGCTTGTAATCCCAGCACTTTGGGAGGCCGAGGCAGGTGGATCACTTGAAGTCAGGAGTTCAAGACCAGCCTGGCCAACATGGTGAAACCCCGTTTCTACTAAAAATACAAAAATTATCCAGGCATGGTGGTGGGCACCTGTAATCCCAGCTACTCGGAAGGCTGAGGCAGCAGAATTGCTTGAACCCGGGAGGCGGAGGAGCTGAGATTGCACCACTGCACTGCAGCCTGGGCGACAAAACAAGACTCTGTCTCGAAAAATAATAACAATAAAAAATAAAGATGGCAACCATAGACACTGGAGACTACTAGATGGGGGGGAAGAAAGGGGGTTGAAAAACTGCCTATTGGGTACTATGCTCAGTACCTGGGTGACAGGATCAATCGTACTCCAAACCTCAGCATCACAAATTATTTAAATTTTTCTCTTTTTTTAATTTTTTTGTTGTTGTTGTTGAGACGAAGTCTCACTCTGTTGCCCAGGCTGGAGTGCAGTGGTGTGATCTCGGCTCACTGCAAGCTCTGCCTCCCAGGTTCACGCCATTCTCCTGCCCCAATCTCCCGAGTAGCTGGGACTACACGCGCCCGCCACCACGTCCTGCTAATTTTTTGTATTTTCAGTAGACACGGGGTTTCACCGTGTTAGCCAGGATGGTCTTGATATCGTCACCTTGTGATCCACCCGCCTCGGCCTCCCAAAGTGCTGGGAATACAGGCGTGAGCTACCGCACCCGGCCTAAATTTTTTTTTAAATAAAGAATGGTAGGTTCTTCACACCCTAATGTATTTTTACTTCTCCCACAGAGAAGGAAAGGAATGGCTTCCCCATGGCAAGCCACCTCAGTCTGGGCTTTCTTTTCTTCCAGGGGACTTTCCCATGCCTTTCATATCTGCCAAATCGAGTCCTGTGATTCCCTTGGATGGATCTGTGAAAATCCAGTGCCAGGCCATTCGTGAAGCTTACCTGACCCAGCTGATGATCATAAAAAACTCCACGTACCGAGAGATAGGCAGAAGACTGAAGTTTTGGAATGAGACTGATCCTGAGTTCGTCATTGACCACATGGACGCAAACAAGGCAGGGCGCTATCAGTGCCAATATAGGATAGGGCACTACAGGTTCCGGTACAGTGACACCCTGGAGCTGGTAGTGACAGGTAAGGAAACATCCAGGGTCCACAGCCCTGGTGTGATTTTTTTCTTATTTTTAATAGAGTATTTTTCAAGAAGTTTTAGATTTACAAACAAAAAAAAATTGATGATTGCTTCAGAGAGTTCTCAGCCATCTGGCACCCCACTTCCCCCAGAGTTAACATCTTACATTAGTATGGCACATTTCTTACCATTAATGAACAAATATCGACACATTCCCAGCTACAGTCTACAGTTTATTTACATTTTCTTAGTTTTTACCTGATAGTCTTTCTCTGTTCCAGGATCCCATTCAAGATTTCACATTGCGGCTGGGAGTGGTGGCTCACGCCTGTAATCCCAACACTTAGGGAAGCCGAGGCGGGTGGATCACCCAAGGTCAGGAGTTCGAGACCAGCCTGGCCAACATGGTGAATTCCCCGTCTCTACTGAAAATGCAACAATCGCTGGGCGCGGTGGCTCACGCCTGTAATCCCAACACTTTGGGTGGCTGAGGTGGGTGGATCACCTGAGGTCAGGAGTTCGAGACCAGCCTGGCCAACACAGTGAAACCTCGTCTCTACTAAAAATGGAAAAAATTGGCCAGGCCTGGTGGCACACGCCTGTAATCCCAGCTACTTGGGAGGCTGAGGCAGGAGAATCGCTTGAACCCAGGAGGCAGAGGTTGCAGTGAGCCAAGATCACACCACTGCACTCCAGGCTGGGCGACAGGGCGAGACTCCATCTCACACACACACACACAAAAAGATTTCACATTGCATTCAGGTGTCATGTATCTTTATTTTTTTTTTTTTTTTTTTTTTTGAGATGGAGTCCCGCTGTGTTGCCCAGGCTGGAGTGCAGTGGCACAATCTCGGCTCACTGCAAGCTCCAACCTCCCGGGTTCACGCCATTCTCCTGCCTCAGCCTCCCGAGTAGCTGGGACTACAGGCGCCCGCCACCACGCCTGGCTAATTTTTTGTATTTTTAGTAGAGATAGGGTTTCACTGTGTTAGCCAGGATGGTCTCAATCTTCTGACCTCGTGATCCGCCCGCCTGGCCTCCCAAAGTGCTGGGATTACTGGCGTGAGCCACCACGCCCGGCCCCCGAAAATGCTGGGATTACAGGCATGAGCCACCGCACCTGGCCTCCCAAAGTGCTGGGATTCCAGGCGTGAGCCACCGTGCCCGGCAGGTGTCATGTATCTTTAGGTTTGTCTTGGCTGTCACAGCTTCTCAGATGTTGCTGGTTTTCCATGACCTTGTCAGTTTTGAGGGTAGTGGTCCATTATTTTCAAGGGTACTCCCACTACTGGAAATTGTCCGATGTTTTGCTCATGACTAGACTGAGTTATGGGTCATTGCAGGCAAGACCACAGAAGCAAAGTGCCATTTCATCTCCTCATAGCAAAGGTTTAAACTGTCCATGGGAACATGACTGTGGATGTTGAGCTGGCTGTTGTTGAAAGCCTGGCTGAAGTAGTAACTGTGGCCAGACACCGTGGCTCGTGCCTGTAATCCCAGCACTTTGGGAGGCTGGGCGCCGTGGCTCACGCCTGTAATCCCAGCACTTTGAGAAGCCGAGATGGGCAGATCACTTAAGCCCAGGAGACCAGCCTGGGCAACATAGTAAGACCCCATCTGTACAAAAAATCAAAAAATTAGCTGGGCATGGTGGCACCCACCTGTAGTCTCAGTTACTTGAGAGGCTGAGATGGTAGGATCACCTGAGCCTGGGAGGTCGAGGCTGCAGTGAGCCGTGATTATGCCACTGCCCTCAGCCTGGGCGACAGAGTGAGACCCTCTCTAAAATAAATAAATTCTAAAAAAGAAAAAAGAGGCTGGGCACTGTGGTTCACGCCTGTAATCCCAGCACTTTGGGAGGCTGAGGCAGGTGGATCACCTGAGGTCAGGGATTCAAGACCAGCCTGACCAACATGGAGAAACCTCATCTTTACTAAAAATACAAAAATTAGCTGGGCGTGGTGGCGGGTGCCTGTAATCCCAGCTACTCGGGAGGCTGAGGCAGGAGACTCACTTGAACCTCGGAGGTGGAGGTTGCAGTGAGCTGAGATCGTGCCACTGCACTGCAGCCTCAGTGACAGAGTGAGACTCCATCTCAAAAAACAATAATAGGCTGGGCACAGTTGCTCATGCCTGTAATCCCAGCACTTTGGGAGGCCAAGGTGGGCAAATCACCTGAGGTCAGGAGTTCGAGACCAGCCTGACCAACATGGAGAGACCCCGTCTCTACTAAAAATACAAAAATTAGCTGGGCGTGGTGGTACGCACCTGTAATCCCAGTTTCTCGGGAGGCTGAGGCAGGAGAATTGCTTGAACCCGGGAGACGGAGGTTGCAGTGAGCTGAGATCACGCCACTGCACTCCAGCTTGGGCAATAAGAGCGAAACTCCATCTCAAAAAAATATATAATAATAACAATAATAAGAAGAAGAAAAGAATAAAGGAGAAAAGGTCTTTCTAATAGCTCACTCTTTTCTCTCTTAGGCTTGTATGGCAAACCCTTCCTCTCTGCAGATCGGGGTCTGGTGTTGATGCCAGGAGAGAATATTTCCCTCACGTGCAGCTCAGCACACATCCCATTTGATAGATTTTCACTGGCCAAGGAGGGAGAACTTTCTCTGCCACAGCACCAAAGTGGGGAACACCCGGCCAACTTCTCTTTGGGTCCTGTGGACCTCAATGTCTCAGGGATCTACAGGTGCTACGGTTGGTACAACAGGAGCCCCTACCTGTGGTCCTTCCCCAGTAATGCCTTGGAGCTTGTGGTCACAGGTAGGTACCGCCCAGTCCAGCCCTGTGTCTGGGTTGGCTGTCCAGGGCCTTGCCACCGGGCAGGAATATGAAGACGTGCACTGAGAGTGAAGTGAAGAGAGGCAAAGGCTCTCACTCCAGGACAGTGGAGAGAGAAAGGCTTCCCCACCACACTTTCCGCTTTCACTTCCTCGCTAGAGTTCTCCAGACAGGGTTCATTGAAAACTTAGTCTGTGGAGAACAGAAGGGCTAACTCAGTTTGTTTCATTTTATTTATTTCATTTTATTTTCCGGGATAGAGTCTTGCTCTTTCGCCAAGGCTGGAGTGCAGTGGCACGATCTCGACTCACTGCAACCTTCGCCTCCCAGGTTCAAGCAATTCTCCTGCCTCAGCCTCCTGAGTAGCTGGGACCACACAGACAGGGTTTCACCATGTTGGCCAGGCTGGTCTCGAACTCCCGACCTCAGGTGATCCACCTGCCTCGGCCTCCCAAAGTGCTGGGATTACAGGCGTGAGCCACCGCGCCTGGCCAGGCTGCACACATTCTTATTAGGATTCCACCTTGTTCTGGTGTTGTAGAGATGTGATTAGGTATTTAGTGAATTCACCAAGTGAGGAGAGAATGAAAAGAAAACACAACCTGCCTGGCCGGGCGTGGTGGCGTGAGCCTGTCGTCCCAGCTACTCAGGAGGCTGAGGCAGGAGAATCACTTGAACCCAGGAGGCAGCTGTTGCAGTGAGCCAAGATCACGCCATTGCACTCCAGCCTGGGTGACAGAACGAGACTCCACCTCAAGAAAAAAAAAAAAAACATGGTTGGGCACGATGGCTCACGCCTGTAATCTGAGCACATTGGGAGGCTGAGGCAGGTGGATCACCTGAGGTCGGGAGTTCGAGACCAGCCTGGCCAACATAGTGAAACCCCATCTCCACTAAAAATACAAAAATTAACCAGGCGTGGTGGTGGTGGGCGCCTGTAATCCCAGCTACTTGGGAGGCTGAGGCAGGAGAATCACTTGACCAGGGAGGCGGAGGTTGCAGTGAGCCGAGATCACGCCACTGCACTCCAGCCTGGGCAACAGAGTGAGACTCCATCTCAAAAAAAAAAAAAAAAAAAAACACACACAACCTGCCCATAATCACCTCCTTCCCAGTTTATAGCACTTCCCTGGGAAGCACAGTTCCTTGCCCGTGAACACAGTCTTGCTGACTGATCAGTGTGGTGCTGGCGAAGCATGAGCTCATTGAGGGGATGCTTGAGGGAGTCCCATTTTGGCAAGCGAAAAGGAAAATGAGCTCCCGTTTCAGGGCTCTGGGGTTGGGATGGAATGGAACACAACCACCAACCATTCATCTCCTTGAATTGTGTCTCCAGACTCCATCCACCAAGATTACACGACGCAGAACTTGATCCGCATGGCCGTGGCAGGACTGGTCCTCGTGGCTCTCTTGGCCATACTGGTTGAAAATTGGCACAGCCATACGGCACTGAACAAGGAAGCCTCGGCAGATGTGGCTGAACCGAGCTGGAGCCAACAGATGTGTCAGCCAGGATTGACCTTTGCACGAACACCAAGTGTCTGCAAGTAAACACCTGGAGGTGAAGGCAGAGAGGAGCCAGGACTGTGGAGTCCGACAAAGCTACTTGAAGGACACAAGAGAGAAAAGCTCACTAAGAAGCTTGAATCTACTTTTTTTTTTTTTTGAGACAGAGTCTGGCTCTGTCACCCAGGCTGGAGTGCAGTGGAGCAATCTCGGCTCATTGAACCTCTTGGGTTCAAGTGATTCTTGTGCCTCAGCCTCCCAAGTAGCTGGAATTACAGGCACATACCACTGCACCCAGCTAATTTTTGTATTTTTAGTAGAGATGGGGTTTCACTGTGTTGGCCAGGCTGGTCTCGAACTCCTGACCTCAGGTGATCCACCCACCTTGGCCTCCCAAAGTGCTGAGATTATAGGCATGAGCCACCACGCCTGGCCAGATGCATGTTCAAACCAATCAAATGGTGTTTTCTTATGCAGGACTGATCGATTTGCACCCACCTTTCTGCACATAAGTTATGGTTTTCCATCTTATCTGTCTTCTGATTTTTTATATCCTGTTTAATTTCTTCCTTCATTGTTCTTCTCTTTTTTTATTTATTTTATTTATTTTTATTTTTATTTTTATTTGAGACAGAGTCTCACTCTGTTGCCCAGGCTGGAGTGCAGTGGCACGATCTCGGCTCACTGCAACCTCTGCCTCCTGGGTTCAAGTGATTCTCCTGCCTCGGCCTCCCAAGTAGCTGGGATTGCAGGCTCCCACCATCACGCCCAGCTACTTTTACAGTATTTTTAGTAGAGACGGGGTTTCATCACATTGGCCAAGCTGGTCTCAAACTTCTGACCTCGTGATCTGCCCGCCTCGGCCTCCCAAAGTGCTGGGATTACAGATGTGAGCCACTGCGCCCAGCCTTCTTTTTATATTTTTAAATGTGTCTTCCCCAAATATAAATGGTTGGTAAGCATGCCAAATATATTCAATAACCCCCCTCCTTTATTTTTTTTTGTTGAAGTGAGGCTCTCCCTATGTTGCCTAAGCTGGTCTTGAACTCCTGGTCTCAAGCAATCCTCCTACCTCAGCCTCCTGCTGTGTTCATCTACAAATTGATAAGAGTGAAAGTCATAATCCTACAGGAGGATTACCCTATTTATTTCACAAACCCTATTTCTACCGGATTTTCATACAAGGAATACAGGCATGTGTTTCACCTCATTAATTTATTTTTTCACTTAGTTTTGATGATATTCACATATATTATCAAGTGTGCAAACATTAAATTCTTGTGTACAAAACTCAAATGGTCTTCCAAATAATTCCCCATTCTTTTTTCTTATAAACTTTCACAGCTTTACCCTTGACAGACTTTACTCAAGGAAATCTAAGTTGGTCATATGTGGCTCTTTCACTGATTGCTATTTACTTCATTGTCCAGTAGCTTATGTATGAAAATATAATTATAAAATGTAAGGGTCCTACTTCCAGTGAAACTGAAGGGACTTAGGCCCACTTTTATCCTTTACTGAGAGCTTATCTCTACTTGATAAAATTTCTACTGTATTCTTGGCTTAACTCAGGTCCTGTGATTAAAAAAAAAATGCAAAGTATTTCTAACTTTCTTTATTGACTGCTTTTCACACTTTATACAAGTTCTGGCCCATATCTTCAGTTTGTTCTGATTTTTTTCACCAGGTGTGGTGGCAGGTGCCTGTAGTCCCAGCTACTCCAGGGGCTGAGGCAGGAGAATGGCGTGAACCTGGGAGGCGGGGCTTGCAATGAGCTGAGATCACGCCACTACACTCCAGCCTGGGCCACAGAGCGAGACTCCGTCTCAAAAGTAAACAAACAAATAAATAATAAATAAATAAATAAAGGGAAAGTGCCACAATTTTGGATGAAGGGGGTTGAGGGACTTTACGTCAGGTCCAGGACTTGGATTACAGAGACACAATGGGGCTAGATTCCCAGAGATGGATAAGATTAAACTCATATAAGTCGTTTTGCTGACAGAAGGACCTTGTTTGGAAAAAGCGTTTTCAGAATAATAAAGTTCCTGAGCTCTTCAGAAAAGTATTTTATTGTCCTGTAACCACAGTAACAAGTAGCCACCAAAACTGATTTTTAACCCATCATCAATGACAACTCATCTCTGTGAAGATGCTCTTTTTTTTTTTTTTTTTTTTTGAGACGGGGTCTTGCTCTGTCACCCAGGCTGGGGAGCAGTGACGTGACCTCGGCTCCCTGCAACCTCTCTTTCCCGGGTTCAGCAATTCTCCTGCCTCAGCCTCCCCAGTAGCTGGGATTATAGGCACCTGCCACCACACGCAGATAATTTTTGTATTTTTAGTACAGACGGGTTTCGCCATGTTGGCCAAGCTGGTCACAAACTTCTGACCTCAGGGTGATCTGCCTGCCTCAGCCTCTCAAAGTGCTGGGATTACAGGAGTGAGCCACAAAGCCCGGCCACTCCATACGTTTTATATTGTTATGTTACCATCAGTCAGGCAGCTCCTTGCTTCTAAAAGTCATCCAATCAGACTCATTTCAGTAAACACCCAAGCATGAGTGACAACCAATCAAAGTAATATCTTCCCAATGACCACACTTTTCCAGATGACGTCAAGCCACAGAAGGCCCTGAAAATCCAACAATCTCTGAAGTATACATTTCCCAGGCTGAGCGCAGTGGCTCACACCTGAAATCCCAGCACTTTGGGAGGCTAAGGCAGGCAGATCACGAGGCCAGGAGTTCGAGACCAGCCTGGCCAACATGGCAAAACCCCGTCTCTACTAAAAATACAAAAATTAGCCAGGTGTGGTGGCACGCACCTGCATTACCAGCTACTGAGGAGGCTGAGGCAGGAGAATGGCTTGAACCCAGGAGGCGGAGGTTGCAGTGAGCCAAGATCGTACCACCGCACTCCAGCCTTGGTGACAGAGCAAGACTCCATCTCAACAACAACAACAAAAATGGTTGAAATAAAACTTCTATGTGTTGAACGATTCCTCTTTTAGGCATAGAGTTTCAGTTTTACAAGATGAAAATATTCTGGAGATCTGTTTCAAAACACCGTGAATACATTTAACACTGCTATACTGTACACTTACAATGGCTAAGATGGTAAATTGTATGTTATGTTTTTACTACAATTTTTTTTTTTTTTTTTCTGAGACAGAGTCTCACTCTTGTTGCCCAGGCTGGAGTGCAATGGTGCGGTCTCGGCTCACCGCAACCTCCGCCTCCTGGGCTCAAGCCATTCTCCTGCCTCAGCCTCCAGAGCAGCTGGGATTACAGGCATGCGCCACCACGCCTGGCTAATTTTATATTTTTAGAAGAGACGGGGTTTCTCCATGTTGGTCAGGCTGGTCTCGAACTCTGGACCTCAGGTGATCCACCCGCCTTGGCCTCCCAAAGTGCTGGGATCACAGGCGTGAGCCACCACGCCTGGCCTACAATTTTTTTTTAACTTTTTTTTCTGAGATGGAGTCTCGCTCTTGTCACCCAAGTTGGAGTGCAGTAGTGTGATCTCGGCTCACTGCAACCTCTGCCTCCCTGGTTCAAGGGATTCTCCTGCCTCAACCTCCCAAGTGTGGGAGATCAGTCAGAGTAGCAGAAGAAATTATAGGAATAGGAAGCAGCAAACCTTCTTGGAAGGCCAGGGAGGTTGGCATAGCTTCAGATAGTTTGGCTGAAAGCAGCCAGATTCTCTTTTCAGGAGCCAAACAGCTTAGGGCGCAGATACAAAGGAATGCGGAGTATTTTATCTAAATAGCTTGCTTAGTCATATGGTCCTAAAATCAACCTTTGATCATTCTCGGGCAAGATGGCCCTCTCCAGGGAGGTGGCGGGGGGCGGTGACCAGGTTAATTACCCACAGGTGTGTTGACTCAAAGCCTTTGTTAATTAAATCTGTGCTAAATAAATGCAAGCGTTGCCAGCTTAGAGGGGCTGCACTCTCTTTGGCTCCTAGTGCCGGCAGCCCCCTGGCCTGCTCTTTCACTGAATATTGGTGTCTGAGGACGTGTCTCATCTGTCGTACAGCTGGGATCTGCAGAACAGATCCCCCCCGCACCCAAGAAGCTGGGATTACAGGCACCCGCCGCCATGCCCAGCTCATTTTTGTATTTTTAGTAGAGACAGGGTTTCACCATGTTGGTCAGGCCGGTCTCGAACTCCCGGCCTCAGGTGATCTGCCCGCCTCAGCCTCCCAAAAGTGCTTGGATTACAGGCATGAGCCACTGCGCCTGGCCTTAGAAAACTTCTTTTTCTTTTTTTTTTTTTTTTTTTTTTGAGACAGAGTTTCACTCTGTCGCTACGCTGGTGTGATCTGGGCTCACTGCAATCTCCGCCTCCCAGGTTCAAGTGATTCCCCTGCCTCAGCCTCCCGAGTAGCTGGAACTACAGGTGCGCACCGCCACGCCCGGCTAATTTCTTGTATTTTCGTGGAGACGGGGTTTCACCATGTTGGCTAGGCTGGTCTGTTTCATGCGCGTCCGTGTGAAGAGACCACCAAACAGGCTCTGTGTGAGCAACAAGGCTGTTTATTTCACCTGGGTGCAGGCAGGCTGAGTCCGACAAGAGAGTCAGCGAAGGGGGATAGGGGTGGGGCCGTTTTATAGGATTTGGGTAGGTAAAGGAAAATTACAGTCAAAGGGGGGTTGTTCTTTGGTGGGCAGGAGTGGGGGGTCACAAGGTGCTCAGTAGGGGAGCTTTTGAGTCAGGATGAACCAGAAGAAGGAATTTCACAAGATAATGTCATCAGTTAAGGCAGGAACAGGCCATTTTCATTTCTTTCGTGGTGGAATGTCATCAGTTAAGGCAGGAACCGGCCATCTGGATGTGTACGTGCAGGTCACAGGGGATATGATGGCTTAGCTTGGGCTCAGAGGCCTGACATTCCTGTCTTCTTATATTAATAAGAAAAATAAAACGAAATAGTGGTAAAGTGTTGGGATGGCGAAAATTTTGGGGGGTGGTATGGAGAGAGAATGGGCGATGTTTCTCAGGGCTGCTTCGAGCGGGATTAGGGGCGGCGTGGGAACCTAGAGTGGGAGAGATTAAGCTGAAGGAAGATTTTGTGGTAAGGGGTGATATTGTGGGATTGTTAGAAGAAACATTTTTCATTTAGAATTACTGGTGATGGCCTGGATGCAGTTTTGTATGAATTGAAAAACTAAATGGAATAAGGAAAGGAGAAAAACAGGTATTAAAGGTCTAAGAATTGGGAGGACCTAGGACATCTAATTAGAGAGTGCCTAAGGAGGTTCAGCATAGCCTTGCCAGCAAAGATTATTTATTTACTTCAAGAGTTAAGAGTGGTGGTTTGGGGATAGCACCAGGAGATATCAGCTGTGATGGCTTGGAAAAACAGTGTAAACCAGCAGTGTAAACAAGAGCAGGGCATGTGTGAGTAGTTGAGAATGGTGAATAGGAGTATGACTAGACAGAAGATAGTAGGGATGACAAGTTTTTGGGGGCACATTCCAAGTTGGTCTGGTGTCTGGAATGAGACTGGGGCTTAATAAAAAGGAGCGTCTATACAGGAGCTCAAATGGGCTGTACCCTTTAGCATTCTGAGGACAGGCCTGAATTCTGAGAAAAGAAAGTGGTAAAAGTATTGTCCAGTCTTTTTTAAGTTGGTGGCTGAGCTTGGTGAGGTGTGTTTTTAAAAGACTATTAGTCTGTTCTACTTTTCCTGAAGACTGAGGACTGTAAGGGATATAAAGGTTTCACTGAATACCAAGAGCCTGAAAAACTGCTTGGCTGATTTGACTAATAAAGGCCGGTCTGCTATCAGACTGTATAGAGGTGGGAAGGCCAAACTGTGGAATTATGTCTGACAGAAGGGAAGAAATGACCTCGGTGGCCTTCTCAGACCCTGTGGGAAAGGCCTCTACCCATCCAGTGAAAGTGTCTACCCAGACCAAGAGGTATTTTAGTTTCCTGACTCAGGGCATGTGAGTAAAGTCAATTTGCCAGTCCTAGGCGGGGGCAAATCCCCGAGCCTGATGTGTAGGGAAGGGAGGGGACCTGAGCAATCCCTGAGGGGTAGTAGAATAGCAGATGGAACACTGAGAAGTGGTTTCCTTGAGGATAGATTTCCAGGATGGAAAGGAAATGAGAGGTTCTAAGAGATGGGCTAGCAGCTTGTAACCTACATGGAAGAGGCTATGAAATATCGACCGAATAGAATGGGCCTGTGAGGCTGGAAGGAGGTATTTTCCTTGGTCTAAGAACCATTTGCCTTGTGTGGGAAGAGATTGATGGGTGGAAGTTTCAGTGGGGGAGTAGGTGGGAGTGACTGATGAGAAGGAGAAAAACTGGCTGTGGGGGACAGAAATTGGCATGCTAGCTGCTTGTCTAGCTACCTTATCAGCATAAGCATAGATGTGAGAGACAGAAGTTGGAAAGCTAGCTGCTTGTCTAGCCACCTTGTCAGCATAGGCATTGTCTAGAGCAATGGGATCTGATGACTTTTGATGGCCTTTGCAGTGAATGACTCCAGCTTCCTCTGGGAGTAAAGCGGCCTTGAGCAGAGTTTTTATTAAGGAGGCATTAAAGATGGAGGACCCTTGTGTAGTGAGGAAACCTCTTTCAGCCCATATGACCGCATGGTGGGGCAGAATATGAAAGGCATATTTAGAGTCAGTATAAATATTGATGCATAGTCCTTTTGCATCAGTGAGGGCTTGAGTTAAGGCAACTAATTCGGCTTGCTGAGAGGTAGTGGAGGGGGCAGAGCGGTAGCCTCAATGATAGATGTGGAAGATACTATAGCATAGCCTGCCTTTGCTGGTGAGTGGCGATTAGGCCTGGTGGAACTGCCATCAATAAACTAAATGTGATTAGGGTGAGGAATAGGAAAGAAGGAAATGTGGGGAAATGGGGTGAATGTCAGGTGGATCAGAGAGATACAGTCATGGGGGTCAGGTGTGGTATCCGGAATAATGTGGGAGGCCGGATTGAAGTATGGGCCAGTAACAATGGTAATTGTGGGAGACTCAACAAAGAGTGAGTACAGCTGAAGGAGCCGGGGAGCAGAAAGTATATGCGTCAGGTGTGAGGAAGAAAATAGATTTTTGGAAGTTATGAGAACTGTAGAGAGTGAGTTGAGCATAGTTTGTGATTTTGAGGGCCTCTAAAACTATTAAAGCAGCGGCAGCCGCTGCTCACAGACGTGAGGGCTAGGCTAAAACAGTAAGATCAAGTTGTTTGGACAGAAAGGCTACAGGGTGCGGTCCTGGCTCTTGTGTAAGAGTTCTGACCACGCTAACCATGCCTAGGAAGGAAAGGAGTTGTTGTTTTGTAGAAGGTGCTGGGGTTTGAGAGATCACTAGGACACGATTGGCAGGGAGAGCACGTGTGTTTTTATGAGAATTATGCCGAGATAGGTAACAGAGGAGGAAGAAATTTGGGCTTGACTGAAGTAATGGGGGCTGTCTGTGAAGCCTTGCAGCAGTACAGCCTAGGTAATTTGCTGAGCTTGATCGGTGTCAGGGTCAGTCCAAGTGAAAGCGAAGAGAGGCTGGGATGAAGGGTGCAAAGGAACAGTAAAGAAAGCATGTTTGAGATCCAGAACAGAATAATGGGTTGTAGAGGCAGGTATTGAGGATAGGAGAGTATATGGGTTTGGCACTACGGGGTGGATAGGCAAAACAATTTGGTTGATAAGGTGCAGATCCTGAACTAATGTGTAAGCCTTGTCTGGTTTTAGGACAGGTAAAATGGGAGAATTGTAAGGGGAGTTTATAGGCTTTAAAAGGCCATGCTGTAGCAGGCTTTAATCCTTTTAAAGCATGCTGTGGGATGGGATATTGGCATTGAGCGGGGTAAGGTTGATTAGGTTTTAATGAGATGGTAAGGGGTGCATGATTGGTCACCAAGGAGGGAGTAGAGGTATCCTATACTTGTGGGTTAAGGTGGGGGGATACAAGAGGAGGACACAAAGGAGGCTTTGGATTGGGAAGAAGGGCAGCAATGAGATATAGCTGTAGTCCAGGAATAGTCAGGGAAGCAGATAATTTAGTTAAAGTGTCTCAGCCTAATAAGGGAACTGGGCAGGTGGGGATAACTAAAAAGGAGTGCTTGAAAGAGTATTGTCTAAGTTGGCACCAGAGTTGGGGAGTTTTAAGAGGTTTAGAAGCCTAGCTGTCAATACCTACAACAGTTATGGAGGCAAGAGAAACAGGCCCTTGAAAAGAAGGTAATGTGGAGTGGGTAGCCTCCATATTGATTAAGAAGGGGACGGGCTTACCTTCCACTGTGAGAGTTACCTAGACTGTCTGTGATGGTCCTGTAGGCTTCCGAGGCGATCGGGATCGGGCAGTGTCAGTCTTCAGCTGCTAAGCCGAGAAGATCTGGGAAGGAGTCAGAGAGCCTTGGGCCAGAGTTCTAGCTGCTCTGGGAGTGGCTGCCAGGTGAGTTGAACAGTCCGATTTTCAGTGGGGTCCCGCACAGATGGGATGCGGCTTAGGAGGAATCCCAGGCTGTGGACATTCCTTGGCCCAGTGGCCAGATTTCCAGTACTTGTAGCAAGCTCCTGGGGGAAGAGGTTCTGGAGGAACCCCTGGCAGCTGCGGTTCAGGCGTTTGGAGTTCTCGTGTGCTGGAGATGTGGCTGGGGTTTGTCTCATCTGGATACTGGAGTGGAGGCAAGGAATTGCAACTCAGAAATATGTTGCTATTTGGCTGCCTCTACTCTATTACTGTACACCTTGAAGGCGAGGTTAATTAAGTCTTGTTGTGGGGTTTGAGGGACAGAATTTAATTTTTGGAGCTTTATTTAATGTTGGGAGCAGATTTGGTAATAAAATGTATATTGAGAATAAGACGGCCTTTTGACTTAGGGTCTAGGGCTGTAAAGCGTCTCAGGGTTGCTGCCAAATGAGCCATGAACTGGGCTGTGTTTTTAAATTTGATGAAAAAGAGCCTAAACACTATCTGATTTGGGAGAGGTCAGATAAAGAAAAAGGAGCATTAACCTTGACTATGCCTTTAGCTTCAGCCACCTTTTTAAGAGGAAATTGCTGGGCAGTTGGGGGAGGGCTAGTCATGGAATGGAACTGTAAGCTGGACCGGGTGTGAGGAGGGGAGGTGATAAAAGGATTATAGGGTGGAGGAGCGGAGGCTGAGGAAGAATTGGGACCCAGCTCGGCCTGGCGAGGAGGGGAGATGTCAGATGGGTCTGTAGAAAAGGAAGATTAGAAAGACTCAGCGATGCTTGGGGTTGGGACTGACGGGACAGGCGGGAGGGAAAGAAGGAAGATTTGGGACGAGTTGCACTGGGCATAGAGACTAGGGAGGGACCGATGTGTAAAAGAATGCCTGGATGTCAGGCACCTCAGACCGTTTGCCCATTTTACAACAAGAATTATTTAGATCTTGTAGGATGGAAAAATTGAAAGTGCCGTTTTCTGGCTATTTGGAACCACTGTCAAGTTTGTATTGGGGTCAAGCAGCATTGCAGAAGAAAATAAGGCATTTAGGTTTTAGGTCAGGTGTGAGTTGAAGAGGTTTTAGGTTTTTAAGAACACAGGCTAAGGGAGAAGAAGGAGGAATGGAGGGTGGAAGGTTGCCCATACTGAAGGAGGCAAGCACAGAGAAAAGAGAGAGTAGAGACATGGAGGGAAGGGGTTCAGGGGTTCTTACCTTCCAGAAAAGCGGGAAAGGGGTCAGGGCACAGAAGTAAGGGATTGGGGTGCAGAGACAAGAGGTCGGGGTGTGGAAATAAGGGATCGGGGTGCAGAGATAAGACGTCAGGGCACAGAAATAAGGGATCGGGGGATTCTTGCCCCCTAGAAAAGCGGTACTTGCCACTAAGGGTGAAGGAGAAGGGGTTGGGGGGTTCTTGCCCCCCCAGAAAAGCAGAGAAGGGGTAGAGACACAGAGAAGGAGTTGGGGGTTCTTGCCCCCCCAGAAAAGCAGTACTTGCCACTAAGGGTGAAGGACCAAGGCAGGCATCCCCATGTGGTCAGACACCTCTGAAACGTGGGTGAATAATCAGAGAGGTGTCCCCGCGTGATTAAACACCAAGGGAAGGCTGCCTTCCCGAGTCCATGACCGGCGCTGGAGTTTTGGGTCCACGAATAAAGCGCGTCTCCTGTCTCTACCAGAAAAGGAAAGGAACTGAAATTAAGAGAAGGGAGAGATTGAAGAGTGGAAAGGAGAAAGTGGTTGAGGGATAGTGAGAGAGGTTGGAGAAGAGAGTAAAAAGAGGCTGCTTACTGGATTTAAAATTGGTGAGATGTTCCTTGGGCTGGTTGGTCTGAGGACGAGAGGTCGTAGGTGGATCTTTCTCATGGAGCAAAGAGCAGGAGGACAGGGGATTGATCTCCTAAGGAAGATCCCCTGATTCGAGTTATGGCACCAAATTTCACTCACGTCCGTGTGAAGAGACCACCAAACAGGATTTGTGTGAGCAACAAGGCTGTTTATTTCACCTGGGTGCAGGCGGGCTGAGTCCAGAAAGAGAGTCAGCAAAGGGAGATAGGAGTGCGGCCGTTTTATAGGATTTGGGTAGGTAAAGGAAAATTACAGTCAAAAGGGGGTTGTTCTCTGGCGGGCAGGAGTGGGGTTCACAAGGTGCTCAGTAGGGGAGCTTTTGAGCCGGGATGAGCCAGGAGAAGGAATTTCATAAGATAATGTCATCACTTAAGGCAAGAACAGGCCATTTTCATTTCTTTCGTGGTGGAATGTCATCAGTTAAGGCAGGAACCGGCCATCTGGATGTGTACATACAGGCCACAGGGGGATATGATGGCTTAGCTTGGGCTCAGAGGCCTGACAGTCTGGATCACCTGACCTGGTGATCCGCACACCTCGGCCTCCCAAAGTGCTGGGATTACAGGCATGACCCACTGCACCTGGCCTTAGAAAACTTCTTAAATATTAAAATGTATGTTATGTGTATTTTGCCACAATTTTTGAAAAGTACCTTCTGGTGTTTAGAGACAGAAGATGAGTGGTTGCCTAGGGCCGGGAGAGTGAGGGGATCGTGGTGATGGGCAGCTGGTCGGCATGGGGTTCTGAAGGGCAGTGATGACAACATTCTAAAATTAGACTGTGTTGACGGTTGCACCAACTCCGTGAATACCACAAAATTTAAACCATTGAATTATGCACTTTTAATGGGTAATTGTATGGCATGTAAATTATATCTCAATAAAGTTATATTTTTAAATACCAAAAAAAGGCCGGGTGCGGTGGCTCACGCCTGTAATCCCAGCACTTTGGGAGGCCGAGAAGGGCGGATCACGAGGTCAGGAGATGGAGACCATCCTGGCTAACATGGTGAAACCCCATCTCTACTTTGAAAAAAAAAAAAAAAGATTACCCGGACGTGGTGGTGGGCACCTGTAGTCCTAGCTACTCAGGAGGCTGAGGCAGGAGAATGGCATAAACTCGGGAGGCAGAGCTTGCAGTGAGTCGAGATTGCGCCACTCAGGAGGCTGAGGCAAGAGAATGGCATAAACCCCGGAGGCAGAGCTTGCAGAGAGCCGAGATTGCGCCACTGCACTCCAGCATGGGTGACAGAGCGAGAGTCCATCTCAAAAAAAAAAAAAAAAAAAAAAAAGATTAGTAATATCCTCTGTGTCACTTACCACTTAAGTGATTGAATCACGACTTGAAATTCATCATCTCAAACATGGCTTAGAGTCTGTAGAGGGGGGACAGTCCCAGGAATGCTGGTGTGGGCTTAAGGCTGAATTAAATAGATCCAGATGGCTCACACCTGTAATCCCAATACCTTGGGAGGCCGAGGCAGGTGGGAGGCTGAGGCAGGCGGATCACTGGAGCTCCTGGAGCGAAGAAAGGATGCTAGTGGAAAAACTGGTGAAATCAGAATAAAGTCTATAGTTTTATTTTTTAAAGGAGGCTGGGCGTGGTGGCTCATGCCTCTAATCCCAGCACTTTGGGAGGCTGAGGCAGGTGGATCAGTTGAGTTCAGGAGTTCAAAACCAGCCTGGCCAACTTGACGAAACCCCATCTCTACTAGAAATACAAAAATTAGCTGGGCGTGGTTGTGGGTGCCTCTAATCCCAGCTACTCAGGAAGCTGAGGCAAGAGAATTGCTT
The DNA here is from genome assembly GCF_000001405.40 of Homo sapiens. Classification (NCBI taxonomy): domain Eukaryota; kingdom Metazoa; phylum Chordata; class Mammalia; order Primates; family Hominidae; genus Homo; species Homo sapiens. Next base: position 180,834 of record NT_187671.1, read on the forward strand.
GAACCCAGGAGGCGGAGGTTGCAGTGAGCTGAGATCACACCATTGCACTCCAGCCTGGGCTACAGAGCAAGATTCCATCTCCAAATAAGAGAGACATGACAATTAAATAAATTGTGTAATCTTGGATTAAATCCTAAACCAAATATATGTCACTGGTAAAACAAGTGGTGAAATTTGAATAAAGTGGATAGATCAGACAATAGTGTCATATCAGTGCTATTTCTTGACCTTGAACATTAATAACAGAATGTCCTTGGTTTTGGGAAATATAACCTGAAGTGATTAGAGGTTTAGGGCATCATATGCAAATTAGACACACTTTCTTCGGGGAGAGAGGGAGAGGGAGAGAGGCTGAATGATGAAGCAAATGTGGTAAAATGCTAACTTTGGGGAAATCTGGATGAAGAAATTACAGATTTTTTTTTTTTTTATAGACAGGGTAACACTCTGTCACCCAGGCTAGAGTGCAGTGGCACGATCATGGCTCACTGCAGCTTCTACCTCCCTGGGCTCAGATGACCCTCTCACCTCAGCCTCCCAAGTAGCTGGGACTATAGGCGCACAGCACCACACCTGGCTAATTTTTGCATTTTTTTTTCCCCCAGGCTCGTCTCAAGCAATCCACCCACCTCGGCCTCCCAAAGTGCTGGGATTACAGGTGTGAGCCACTGCACCTGGCCAGAAATTCTTTAAACTATTTTTGCAAGTCTGGAATTATGTCAAAATTAAAAGCTCAAAATAATAAAAGACAATATTCTTATATTTCTTTGGTGAAGGTAACTATGTTATGGCTGAGAGGGTGGCTGAGGTCTGAGGATCCAGCCTACATAAGTCTCCTCCATAGAGGGCATCCAAGCGCTCCGTAGGGGGAAGGATAAAGAAAACACCCAGAGTTATGACAGCTGTGTAAGGGGAAACGCCAGCACCGAGTACTGAATCTTCAGTAAATAAGAAGGAGGCGGGCTGGGTGTGGTGGCTCACGCCTGTAATCCCAGCACTTTGGGAGGCTAAAGTGGGCTGATCACTTGAGGTCAAGAGTTCGAGACTAGCCTGGCCAACATGGGGAAACCCTGTCTCTACTAAAAATACAAAAATTAGTCGAGTGTGGTGGCACACGCCTGTAATCCCAGCTACTTGGGAGGCTAGAACAGGAGAATTGCTTGAACCCAGGAGGTGAAGGTTGCAGTGAGCTGAGATTGCACCACTGCACCCCAGCTTGAGGGACAGAGTGAGATTCCGTCTTAAAGAGAAAAAAAAAAGAATTAGCACATTTGTTTGCCTCAAGAAGATACAACTAGTCTTGTACAGTAGTCACATGTATCCACCAGGATATATTCCAAGGCCCCAGTGGATGCTGAAAACTACATAGTACCTTACATGTATATATATATGTATATACATATATACACATATACGTATATGTATACATACATGTATATATACATGTATGTATATACATATATGCATATATACATACATGTATATATACATGTATGTATATACATATATGTATATGTATGTATACACGCATACATGTATGTATACACGCATACATGTATGTATATACATATATGTATGTATACACGGATACATGTATGTATATACATATATGTATGTATACACGCATACATGTGTGTATACATATATATGCATGTATGCATGTGTGTATATATACATATATGTGTATATATACGCATATACATGTATGTGTATATATGCATGTGTATATATACATGTACGGTACTATGCAGTATATATACACATATATGTATATATGTATACATATATGTATAAATGTATATATGTGTATATATATAAAAGGTATATATGTATATATGTGTGTATATATAAAATGCATGAATTTCTTTTTTCTTACTGTAGATCTTAACAACTTCTGCATAGAATTTTTTTTTATTAAGTGGAGAGTTAGTTACTTACTTAAAAGAAATGTTTCTTGGCTGGGTGTGGTGGCTCACACCTGTAATCCCAGCACTTTGAGAGGCCGAGGCAGGAAGATTCACTTGAGGTGAGGAGTTGGAGACCATCCTGGCCAACGTGGTAAAAACCGGTCTCTACTAAAAGTACAAAAATGAGCTGGGCGTGGTGTTGGGTGTCTGTAGTCCCAGCTACTCAGGTGGCTGAGGCAGGAGAATTGCTTGAACCCACAAGGCAGAGGTTGCAGTGAGCTGAGATCACACCACTGCACCACAGCCTGGGCAACAGAGCAAGACTCTGTCTCAAAAAAAAAAAAAAAAAAGAAAGAAAAAGAAAAAGAAAAGAAATGTTTCTTTTCTTATTAAGTTCTTTAAATGAAAAGCTTTTCTTTTCACTTTTATTTTATTGAAACATTATAACACTATCTTTGAAGAAGATAGTGTTATCATTCCATTCTGATGAAACCAATTAACTTATCCAAGCATATGTATACTGTACACAGAGAAGCCAACGTCAAAACCCCTATTTTTATCTTTTTAGATTCAGCAGATACATGTGCAGGTTTTTTATGAGTATATTGCATGATGCTGAGGCTTGCATTAATGATCTAGTCACCAAATAGGTAGATTTTCAAGCCTTGCTCCCCTCCTTACCCAATGTTTAGCGCTCTCACTTATAAGTGAGAACATGTGGTATTTGGTTTTCTTTTCTTTTTTTTTTTTTTTTTTGAGATGGAGTTTCACTCTTGTTGCCCAGGCTGGAGTACAATGGCACCATCTCGGCTCACTGCAACCTTCACCTTCCAGGTTCAAGCAATTCTCCTGCCTCAGCCTCCCGAGTAGTTGGGACTACAGGCATGTGCCACCACACCCGGCTAATTTTGAATTTTTAGTAGAGACAGGGTTTCTGCATGTTGGTCAGGCTGGTCTCGAACTCCCGACCTAAGGTGATCCACCTGCCTCAGCCTCCCAAAGTGCTGGGATGACAGGCCTGAGCCACCGTGTCTGGCCAGTATTTGGTTTTCTGTTTCTGTGTTAACTCGCTTAGGATAATGGCCTCTAGCTGCATCCATGTTGCTGCAAAGGACATAATCTTGTGATTTTTCAAGGCTGTATAGCGTTCTGTGGTGTATACATATCACATTGTCTTTATCCAGTCCACCTCTGATGGGACCTGGGTGGATTCCATGTCTTCACTATTGTGAATCCTGCTGCAATGAACATACAAGTGCATGTGTCTTTTTGGTAGAATGATTTATTTTCCTTTGGCTATATACCCAGCGATGGGATTGCTGGGCTGAATGGTAACTCTGTTTGTAGTTCTCTGAAATATCTCCAAACCAAACTGCTTTCCACAGTGGCTGAACTAATTTACACCCACCAACAGTGTATAAGTGTCCCCTTTGCTCCACAATCTCACCAGCATCTGTTAATTTCTGGCTTTTCAGTAATGGCCATTCTGACTGGTGTGAGATGGTATTGTTGAGGGATAATTTAGGAATCAGAGAGACCGAGGGGTTGAGGAGGATTTATTATTATTATTATTATTTAGGTGCACCGGCCCCAGTCAGATTAACATCCAAAAAGACTGAGGCTCGAACAGAGAGTCCGGTTACCTTTTAAGCATTTTGTGGGGTTGGGGGAGATCTGTGCAGGGGGAAGCATATTACAGAAGCAAGAAACAAAGGCAGTTATTCAATTGAGACATGCATCACATTATTCCTTACTTTTCAAGAAAAATATGTTTTACGACTTGAGGTTATCCTGTCTAGTGACCTTGCAGCCGCACGGCAAGAGAAACAGGGTCTTCACAATGCCTGGGAAAGGGAGAGATAAGGCTCACTAGCCACAGACAGAAAAACAGGCAGTTCATGTTTAAAGGACTCCACCTCTTTCTCTTCCTCGGGGGGAACTGGGTTTTCTTAAATACAACTGAGTTTTTGTTTACACATTCTGTAATTTCTTTTAATTCCTGTTCCAGTATCTCACTGTGAAACTCCCTATGTTTTTATACGATTCTCAGGGGGTTTCCTCTGGGCATGATTGGGCACAACTTCCCACAGTCAGCTCTGGGTACGACCTCCACATTGCAGAATTGAGAAGTTGACCCAGAAATGCATTTTGGGCTGAGCAGACAATTGTCAGAGTTGCTGGCTAGACCACAGATGTGTCAGAGGGACCACGGCCTTTCTGTAAGCTCATGGTCAGAGGCGGAGGGGAGTTGTGAACGTTCTGATGAAAGCAGTCAACGTGAAAGCGCTCTGGTGATGGGCGCTGGTGCTCACCCACCACTTCCTGTGTATCTATCTCCCTGGCCCGCCCGGCTCAGTCCCCACTGCTCAGCACTAGGCCGGCAGAATCTGAGCGATGTCTTCCACACTCCCTGCCCTGCTCTGCGTCGGTGAGTTCTGGCGTGGAAGGGGAATGGGATCACGGTGTGCCTGGGAGGCAACAGGTCTCATTACTCCCGTCTTCCAGGGCTGTGTCTGAGTCAGAGGATCAGCGCCCAGCAGCGTGAGTCCTTCCTTCAAAGCCCAGGGTCACTCTTCCGGATTCAGGCCAAGCTCCTTCCACCCAAGCACGGCTGGGGTGAGGGGACAGGGTGCTGGCTTCCCAGGAGAGCTTGGGGCCAGCAGCTGGGTGGAGCCTAAGGTTGGGGGGAGGGGGCTCCGCTGGAACTCCAGCCTCTGATTCCCTTCCAGAGACTCTCCCAAAACCGTTCATCTGGGCCGAGCCCCATTTCATGGTTCCAAAGGAAAAGCAAGTGACCATCTGTTGCCAGGGAAATTATGGGGCTGTTGAATACCAGCTGCACTTTGAAGGAAGCCTTTTTGCCGTGGACAGACCAAAACCCCCTGAGCGGATTAACAAAGTCCAATTCTACATCCCGGACATGAACTCCCGCATGGCAGGGCAATACAGCTGCATCTATCGGGTTGGGGAGCTCTGGTCAGAGCCCAGCAACTTGCTGGATCTGGTGGTAACAGGTAACTGTCCGGTTCTCTAACTGGAGAGTGATCTCAGTCTGCATCCGGGATGCAGCATCATCTATGAACTCTTCCAAGCCCCACTCAGACACTGCTTGTCTCGGTAGGAGGCTGGAAGGAGGGGTGATCCCCATCACAATCCTTGCCTACAAGGGGTTGTCTGCAGACCGTGTCTCTACGTCCTAGGAGCAGATGTGTCCTCAGTCAGTTTCTCCATGACACAGATTCTGAGATAGATATTTGTATGCAGGGGTATGACTGAGGAATGTCCTCAAAAACAATGCCTGTGGGCCAGGCGCAGTGGCTTACACTTTGCTTCCCTCACCCATCACAGGTGGTGGGTTTTTTTTTTTTTTATCTGTTTTGAGACGGAGTTTCGCTCTTGTCACCCAGGCTGGAGTGCAGTGGTGCAATCTCCAGTCACTGCAACCTCCACCTCCTGGGTTCAAGTGATTCTCCAGCCTCAGCTTCCCAAGTAGCTGGGATCACAGGCACCCACCACTACGCCACATTTTGTATTTTTAGTAGAGATGGGGTTTCACCATGTTGGCCAGGGTGGTGTCGAACTCCTGACCTCAGATGATCCGCCCGCCTCACCCTCCCAAAGTGCTGGGATTACAGGTGTGAGCCATCACACCCAGCCAGGTGGTGGTTTTCTAAAAAAAAAAAAAAATTAGCTTTTTTTTTTTTTTAACAATATGGTTGTTTATTATTATTATCAAGTATTATACATAGTTACATATACATACATAATTGTATGTGCTATACAATTAGGTTTGTTTATACCAGCAACACCAAAAACACATGAGCAATACTTTGTGCTAGGAAGGCTATGATGTCATCAGGCAATAGGAATTTTTCAGTTTCATTATAATCTTATGGGACCACCATCATATATGTGGTACATTGTTGGCCAAAATGTCATTATGCAGCTCACAACAGTATTTCATGTCCATTCAAATATCTTCTTTTGTGAAATGTCTATTTAAATCTTTTGCCTATTTTTAAATTGGGTTGCTTATATTTTGATTGATTAGGAAAAGTTATTTCTATATTCTGTGTCATATACTTGTGTTGAAATATATATATTTTTTGTCTGTGCCTTTTCATTTGCTCAGGGTCTTTGGACCTTGTTTGGAGGTTCTGGCAGGGGAACACAGCTACTCATTTATTCTTTTTTTTTTAATTTTTTTAGTATTTATTGATCATTCTTGGGTGTTTCTCGGAGAGGGGGATTTGGCAGGGTCATAGGACAATAGTGGAGAGAAGGTCAGCAGATAAACATGTGAACAAAGGTCTCTGGCTTTCCTAGGCAGAGGTCCCTGCGGCCTTCCGCAGTGTTTGTGTCCCTGGGTACTTGAGATTAGGGAGTGGTGATGACTCTTAAGGAGCATGCTGCCTTCAAGCATCTGTTTAACAAAGCACATCTTGCACCGCCCTTAATCCATTTAACCCTGAGTGGACACAGCACATGTTTCAGAGAGCACGGGGTTGGGGGTAAGGTCATAGATTAACAGCATCCCAAAGCAGAAGAATTTGTCTTAGTACAGAACAAAATGGAGTCTCCTATGTCTACTTCTTTCTACACAGACACAGTAACAATCTGATCTCTCTTTCTTTTCCCCACATTTCCCCTTTTTCTATTCGACAAAACCGCCATCGTCATCATGGCCCGTTCTCAATGAGCTGTTGGGTACACCTCCCAGACGGGGTGGCGGCCGGGCAGAGGGGCTCCTCACTTCCCAGACGGGGCGGCCGGGCAGAGGCGCCCCCCCACCTCCCAGACGGGGCAGTGGCCGGGCGGGGGCTGCCCCCCAACCTCCCGGACGGGGCGGCTGGCCGGGGCTTTTTTTTTTTTTTTTGAGACAGTCTCGCTGCAGTGCAGTGGTACAATCTCAGCTCACTGCAACCTCTGCCTCAGCCTCAATTCTCCTGCCTCAGCCTCCCAAGTAGTTGAGATTACAGGCATGTGCCACCACACCCGGCTAATTTTTGCATTTTTAGTAGAGACGGGGTTTCACCATGTTGACCAGGCTGGTCTCAAACTCCTGACCCAGGAGGTCGAGGCTTCAGTAAGCAAAGATAGTGCCACGGCGCTCCAGCCTGGGAAACAGAGCAAGACCCTGTATCATTTTTAAAAATGGTTTTAGACGGTAAATCTTCTATTGTGTGTATTTGACCAAAATAATAATTAAAAAAAAAAAAAAAAGCTGGCTGCCAGGCATGGTGGCAGGCCCCTGTAGTCCCAGCTACTTGGGAGGGTGAGGCAGGAGAAACGCTTGAACCCGGGAGGCGGAGGTTGCAGTGAGCCAAGATCGTGTCACTGCACTCCAGCCTGGGCGACAGAGAGAGACTCCATCTCTAAAGAAAGAAAAAAAAAAATAGCTGGCTGCTCATCACTGAGTTTCTGGTGTGGTGGCCCCACCTTCTCTCATAGAAATGTATGACACACCCACCCTCTCGGTTCATCCTGGACCCGAAGTGATCTCGGGAGAGAAGGTGACCTTCTACTGCCGTCTAGACACTGCAACAAGCATGTTCTTACTGCTCAAGGAGGGAAGATCCAGCCACGTACAGCGCGGATACGGGAAGGTCCAGGCGGAGTTCCCCCTGGGCCCTGTGACCACAGCCCACAGAGGGACATACCGATGTTTTGGCTCCTATAACAACCATGCCTGGTCTTTCCCCAGTGAGCCAGTGAAGCTCCTGGTCACAGGTGAGGAAATGCTCAATTCCCCACACCCTTCGCCGCCATGTGCTACCTGGAGCCCTGAGGGATCCCCAGAGAGTGATGGGGAGGGTGTCCAAGGGACGTCCACTTCCTGGGTGCCTGGTTGGTCATGTGAGGAAGAACACCAGAAGCAGGAAGGAGGAGGGAACAGAGAAAGGAATGGTAAGGCGGGTGGATCACAAGGTCAGGAGTTCGAGACCAGCCTGGCCAAGACGGTGAAACCCCGTCTCTACTAAAAATACAGAAATTAGCCAGACGCAGTGGCGGACACCTGTAGTCCCAGCTACTCAGGAGGCTGAGGCAGGAGAATCGCTTGAACCCGGGAGGCGGGGGTTGTAGTGAACCGAGATCATACCACCGCACTGCAACCTGGGCGACAGAGCAAGACTCCATCTCAAAAAAAAAAAAAAAAAAAAAAGAATGGCAAGACCGGAGGAAACCAAAAACCCTTACTTTTTTTTCTTTATCTCCTTTTCCAGGCGACATTGAGAACACCAGCCTTGCACCTGAAGACCCCACCTTTCCTGGTGAGTAACTGGTCCTTCTAAGCTCAGACGAGCGATCAGAGCCTCCCAGTGACACTAAAAACGTGGCATTCATTCAAAATATTCATCGAGGCCAGGCGTGGTGGCTCACGCCTGTAATCCCAGCACTTTGGGAGGCCGAGATGGTGCATCATTTGAGGTCAGGAGTTTGAGACCAGCCTGGCCAACATGGCGAAACCCTGTCTCTACTAAAAATACAAAACTTAGGCTGGGCATCATGGCTCACACCTGTAATCCCAACACTTCGGGAGGCCAAGGTGGTTGGATCACAAGGTCAGGAATTCGAGACCAGCCTGACCAACATGGTGAAACCCCATCTCTACTAAAAATACAAAAATTAGCCGGGCCTGGTGGTGCTCGCCTGTAATCCCAGCTACTCAGGAGGCTGAGGCAGGAGAATTGTTGAACCTGGGATGCAGAGGTTGCAGTGAGCTGAGATCGCGCCACTGCATTCCACTCCACTGCACGACACAGCGAGACTCCATCTCACAGAAAAACAAAAACAAAACTATTATATATATATATTCATCAAGTGCATAGTATACACAGTGAACTACACTGTAACAGTCAGCCAGGCAGATATCTTGACTGTGCAGCACTTAGATTCTAGCAGGAGGAGACACACCATCGGTCAACGTCAGGATAGCACACAGGAGGGAATGATGCTATGGAAGGAAAAGACAAAGTAGAACAGACTTACAGTGATTGAAATGGCAGCTAGCAATATTAAATAGGTTTGTCCAGATGGACCTCACAGAGAAAGAAGGCATCTGAGCAAATGCGTTCAGACTTGAGTTAATCATGTGGCTGTCAGGAGAAAGGAGGCTCTGGAGAGAATGAAATGGCATCTGCCTGTGCCCTGGGGCAGGAAGATAACTGGGGTAATACAATAATAACTATGAGGCCAGGAGGGTTGAAAATGATGTTTGGAAGATGACGGTGGGATGGGCCTGGGGCGCACGGCTAGGATTACAGGAGTGAGGCCCGGCGCGGTGGCTCACGCCTGTAATCCCAGCACTTTGGGAAACCGAGGCAGGTGGATCATGAGGTCAGGAGATCAAGACCATCCTGGCTAACACGGTGAAACCCTGTCTCTACTAAAAAAAAATACAAAAATTATCCGGGCGTGGTGGCGGGCGCCTGTAGTCCCAGCTACGCAAGAGGCTGAGGCAGGAGAATGGCGTGAACCCGGGAGACGGAGCTTGCAGTGAGCTGAGATCGCGCCACTGCACTCCAGCCTGGGCGACAGAGTGAGACTCCGTCTCAAAAAAAAAGAAAAAGAAAAAGAAAAAGAAAAAAAAATAGTGAGACTTTGAATTTCACTATGTGTGAGGAGAAAGAGGTAATGATGACTTAATGAGGAAAATGAGGCTTAAATAGAAGACGGGCTGGGCCGGGTGGCTCCTGCATGTAATCCCAGCACTTTGGAAGGCAGGGGCGGCTGGATCACTTGAGGTCAGGAGTTCAAGACCAGCCTGGCCAACACAGTGAAACCCCATCTCTACTAAAAATACAAACATGAGTTGGGTGTGGTGGCGCACGCCAGTAATTACAGCTACTCGGGGCTGAAGCAAGAGGATTGCTTGAACTCGGGAGGCGGAGGTTGCAGTGAGCTGAGATCACACCACTGTACTCCAGCCTCAGAGGCCTGCCATCCCAGCCCTTTGGGAGGCCGAAGCAGGCAGGTCATCTGAGGTTGGGAGTTCAAGACCAGCCTGGCCAACATGGCAAAACCCCGTTTCTACTAAAAATATGAAAAAAATTACCTGGGTATGTGGTGTGTGCCTGTAGTCCCAGCTACTCCAGAGGCTGGAACACAGTGAGACTCTATCTCAAAAAAAAAAAAAATAGAAGACATGACTGGTGCAAAGACACATGCTCACAAGTGCTAGAATGGAATTC